>NC_000015.10:84471581-84623096 GCF_000001405.40 Homo sapiens
CCCAACAAGTCATACTCTTTGGACTTTGAAGGTTCTCCACCCTGTGCCCCACCCTCCCCACAGAGCTCTTCATTCTGTCTCTGTTCCCTGCTTTGGCCAGTGGCTATCCTCATTGTGACCCACACTACACCTCTGCCCACACTGCAGCTCTTTACCCAGTTACCCTCCAGTTCCTCACAACGTATGCCTATCTCCGTCATGCCCCAGACTGCATTGAAGCCAGGCTGCCTTGAAGAAGCTCTCCCAGACTGCCCTTTTCCCCAAGGCAGGGTCATGATTTGCCAAAGGTTTCGTGTGTGTGTTAGCAAGACTGGAGTCAGAGCAGGCATCAAACTTTACATCCCATATGTCACACCTCACCATAGACCTGGGTGCCAAATAGCCTGAACAGTCTGAACTCACGTTGGCAGTTAGGAAAGTGCTCCTACAGACGCATCTACGGTTAACATAGCATCCCTATGGCCACTGTCTCCCTTGATCCCCACAGCCATTCTAGGAGAAAGGCAGAATGTCATAATTTGCTAAAAGGGATGCTGAGGCTCTGGGAGGGAAAGGGACTTGCCTAAAGCCCCAGGGTGAAGCAGCATCTCTGGACTCCCAGTCCAGTGATCTTGCCCAATACTTTGCTGCTTGCCTATACCCCTCTAACTTGGTCAACAGCACATCACAGGGCAAGCCCCAATCCCTGCTTCATTTTTATATATGGGCGCTGGTCCCACAGCCCCACTCTCCAGCCATTTGGAAACAAAAACAGATGCTATTGTTCTTCCTTAGAGAACGTGGCCAGTGGAGACGGCACACTGGAAATCAGAGTGAATGTTCTTGAAAGAGGGTCACGGGTCAACAAGGCCCAGCCAAAGGATGCAGTAGAACCATTTTCCTTAGAAATCTTTGGGAGTGAAGTAGGCTTCAGCCACTCCCATCCCTGCCCTTGCGGCTACCACTACCCCATTAGTTTAGACAGGGTCGGGCGGGGAGGGGTGTGGAGAAGAAATGAGCTTGCCTGTGGCCCCCAGGCTCCCTCTGTCCTAGCTCAGGTCTGGGTGCCATTCTTTACACTCGTGTGCTCGCTCACGCACACATCACACACCTTGCTGGTCACACAGTCACAGACTCGCCTCTGCTCCTGTGGTCCAGTGGCCGGACACCCCCTGGGATGGCTCAAAGGAGTCAGGACTTGGAAGTGGGGACATCAGGGTAGCTGAAGGAAATCCACACACCCAGAGCATCTCGGAGTTCAGACTCTCAGACCTGAAGTAGGCGCCCCCGGGACTGGGCTAGGAGTTGGACGGAATGGAGGATGGAGGACAGCGAGAAGAAAGGAAGAGAAATGCAAAGTGTGGGCAGCCGCCAAGAGTGAAAATAGAGGGAAGTGTCATGCAAGTGCTGGACAGAAGGCGGCAGGTGGGACGAGCCCCACAGCCCCCTCCTCAAAAACGACCACCTCCAGGACTCAGTGATCCCTGGGGGGCAGGCTCTGCCAGCCCTCGGCCACACGTGGCTCCGGCACCCATGGTCCCAGTGCCTTGGATGGAGACGGCCAGTTCTGGCGGCCAGATGTGGTGCTCTGGAATCCAGTCCCATTTCCTTCCTGGCCACGCCTGTCCAGCGGCCTCTTTGGCTGCATTCAGCCCCTACTTACCTGGGGACCCCGGCTGGGGCACAAGAGCACCAGGGGGGTAGGGCCCAAAGGGATCAGGGGAAGCCTCTGGCCTGGAGGGTATGGGGCACACTTCCCCAAGGGCGGACCCAGCAGGAGGAAGCCCAGGAGCTGGGTCCTGCCGCCCAGGAGCTGGGCCCTGCCACCCAGGCCGGGCTAGGGACATGGCAGGGCCTGGGCATCCTGGCGCTGGACTTGGGCGACCTGGGAGGCACAGGGAGGGGAGAGATGGGCGGCCCCGCCCCAGCGCAGTGCCGGCCACACCCATGCACCGAAGCTCCTCCCTGCCACACCCCAAGGCGGTTGCCGGAGCTTAAGCCCCGCCCCCAGCAGCGAGAACATCCCACCCCCCCCCCCCTGCAGCCAGTGCTCCTTGTCAAGCTCCCCCCGTCACTCCAGGTGGGAGCCACCCCGGTGAGGGGGTGTGCCACTTGTCCCCAGGGCACTCCTCTGGGCATCCCGGGTGGGGGATTTTGGGGCCGTGGGGGGCAGTCTCTGGTACCTGTGTGCGTCAGGGATGCTCTGCACCTGCAACCAGGTGTCGTCCACGGGCGGGGGCATGGTAACAGTGGTCCTGTTGATGTCACCGATGATGCTGAGCGCCTCCTTCAGCGCGTGGTGCATGTGCAGCATCTCGTCGTGCTGCTGTGCCTGCTCTGCCAACTCCTCCATCAGTGTGTTCTGGTTCCCACATGAGTACATATTGGCCAGCGGCTCCGAGATGATGAACTCCGGGGTCTGAGAGTGGGCAAACAGGGAAGAAGGTTGGGACCTGGTGCCTGTGCCGCCCTGGCTGCCTTGCTGGGCCCTTCTGGGACTGTGCGCTGGACTTGGAGCCCCTTGGAGTATGGCTTTTCACACGGGCTTCTATACCGCTTCGACTGGAAGATCCACCTCCCCACTGCCTTTTCTCACTCAGATGGGGACACCGAGGTCCAGAGGAAAAGACACCTGTCAAATGTCACAGATCTGGGAGGGGACTTAAGACCTATCATGCCAAGAGGACACCTGTCTACTCAGTTTTTTTTTGGTGGGGCGGGGGGGCGGTGATAGGGTCTCGCTCTGTCACCAGGCTGGAGTACAGTGATGACTGCTCACTGCAGCCTCCACCTCCTGGGCTCAAAGTGATCCTCCAACGTCAGCCTCTCGAGTAGCTAGGACTACAGGCACATGCCACCACCAAGCCCAGCTATTTTTAAAATTTTTGTGTGGAGACAAGGTCTCACTATGTGGCCCAGGCTGGTCTCGAACTCCTGGGCTCAAGTGATCCTCCTGCCTCGGCCTCCAGGAGTGGGAGTTGGAGTTGATACCTGGATACAGGAGCTCTGTGGGTGGGAGTGAGGCAAAACACAGGGTCCTGAGGTCTGGGGACCAAGCAATGTCCTCTGGTGAAAAAAATCCTGGACTTGCTGGCAGAAGTTTTGCCTCTTACTTGCCCTGTGCTCTGAATACATTTACCTGCCCTCTGGGAGCTTCAGTTTTCTTATCTGAAAAATGAGGACACCTGACCCCTTCCCTACCCAGTTCAGTGTTGTGGGACAGGGTTGCTGTCAAGACAATACCCAGTCCTGCCCTCCTCCCTGAGTGGGCCAGGTAGCCCATGTAGCCTCTTCCCGGCTTTCCTGGGTGGCACTGTCAGCTTGGTGCCCATTCAATCTAGTCCTTCATCTTGCTGGAGCATGGGGAAGCTCTGAGTAACATGGGACTATAGAGTGCAAGAGGGTTGCTGATGGTCTGCGTCCTGTGCCCTCCTCATTCCTGGGCATTCTTGACAAAGGCTCCCAGCAAGTGAGGGTACGCAGCAGCTGTAGACACCAACCTGATGAATATCTCATTGTGGGAAGGGCACCATAGCAGGAGTGGAGCTCCAGGGAAATACAGAACCCAGGTCTGGGAGGTGCTGATGTGAGAGGCCCAAGAAACCTCGGCTTTGCACTTGCTGAGTACCATCTGCACCTCTCAGGAGGGAGAGCGCCGGGCTCAGGAGGTCCTTGCCGAAGCAAGGGAGCTTGAAAAGGGGGCTGGGGTGGGCTCTGCCATTTTCAAGGGCTGACAGGGGTCCCCTCTGGAGGTACTTGGGGCAGTGCTGCGGGCCGTGGCTCCTGAGTGACAGAGTCAGCTCTGCGCCCCACAAGACCGCTCCCTGCCCAGAACTCACTGTGATCATGTGCTGGGTCCAGATGCTCACGCAGCCTCCTGATGGGGGCATCAGGTGTGCTGCCTGCCCAGGACGGCCCACAAGAGTCTGCCCTGCCCTGCCCTGCTATGGAACAACTCCCATTCTGCCTTTGGGGAGAGGTGTTCATTTAAACCATGACTGGGCTGGCCCCCATGGCACAATTACCACAGAGAGTCTGCCACTACCCATGGCTGAGAGCTCTAGTTCTTCTCTGAAGCCACCAGGACAGATGAACAGTGGCTTCCCCCTTTTGGCCGACTCAGCTGCCTTTCATCAGCTCATCTGCTCCTAGGATCCACTCTTCCTCTGGCTGGCACCTGATCTGAGCCCGAGGCTCACACCTCTGCCCACAGGCCCCAGCAGCTGCTTCACCTCCGACTCCATCCCCCACCAAGCACTGCCCCTCACCAGCTACTGGGGTGCCACTAGTGCCCCTACATGGTTCTCCCTCTCCAGACCCTTGGGTCCAGCTCTAGCTTCCTTTGGGAAGCCACACCCCAAGACCCCAGCCCTGCTCTAGGGCCCTGTATCCCCGACTTCCTGCATTCTTCTCCCTCCTTCTGGGAACATGAACTTGCCCTGCCAGCCTGATGACGCCTAGAGGGCAGGACACCAGGTCCTGGACCATGGCAGGCCTGGGAGTGTCTGCTGCCGGTGATGCTGGAGCTGGTGCCCATGTCCACATGATGTCCATGGCACAGTGGCCACCTGAGGCTGGGCGCATCTGAGTGGTGGCTGCAGAGTGGGGCCCTTACCTCTGCCTGAGTGAAGTTCACCAGGTCCTCCCCTGTGCTGTCATGCTGGGCGTGGAAGAGCCGGCCTAGCTGGAGGCCCCGCACCACATGGTAGAGCAGGAGCTGGGGGTCGGTGCCTGCTGGCTCTGAGGCTCTGGCTGCTGAGTGGCTGGACGGACTCTGCCAGAGGCAAAAGGGGCCATCAGCCTTTGTGATCCAGGCCGAGGCCTGTGGCTGCAGAGAGGCAGTGTGACCCTGGCATGCCACCCTCAGCTCTGCCCCAGCCCCCTGCACCCAGGAATGCCCACAATCAGCACACCCACCTGGGCAGTCAGTGTCTGGCTGCCCTCCAGCGAGTGAAGCACTTGCTTCTGGGCCGTCACTCAGAAGCTAAGTGTCTGGAGGAAGTATGTTCACCGTCAGAGAGGCCAAAGTGGATGCCTCTGTCCAGGGCCCCTGGGGACAAGGGTGTTGGGTCCAGCTGGCCTGAACTGGCTCCCCACCTCAGGGTGCCCCCGTGGGCAGCAGAAACCTGGGGCTCGGCCCTCAGCACCCACCTCTGTGTGAGAACAGCACGAGCCCACCATCCAGCTGGGTCTGCATGAAGCTGCGCACCTCAGTGCCCGGCACCGCCCACCGCACTACCCACCCATTGCTGGGCTGCTTAATGGTGTACACCAGGTCCTTGGGCCCAGAGTAACCATCCATGCTCCTCAGAGCCTCTGTAGGGATGGGCACGGTGGCCCCCTCCCACGTCTGGGGACACAGGCCTGTGAAGGTTCTGCCCTGCCACACTTACCCACCCCTTCCTCCCCGGCCCTGGGCTGCCACCAGGGCTCCAACCCCACTGAGGCTCAGGCCCTCAGGTGGCATCAAGGCTGGCGCTGCTGTGGCTCCCCTGCACAAATGGCCTCCCTGCATTCACCTTCCCTGTCACCCCAGGGAAGGCCACCCTCCAGGCCCAGCATCCCTGCTCTTCATCTGTCCTAGTCCTGTGTGTCCCTCAAGACCAGCTTGTGTACCCAACCCAGGAAGGCCCTAGCTCTTACCCTCACCAAGTTCTCACCCCCAGAAACCCCCAGCGCTGACCAACAGTGCTCCTTAATCTGTCTCACTGGTGGGGCAGCAGTCTCCTTTCAGACCCTCCATGTGTGCCTGGCAGGGGCTGGGCACAGGTGGGAACAGTGATTTTAGAAACGAGCACTCCTTCCAGCTAAGGGAGGGGTGGGAGGCGCAGAGAGCTGAAGCCTGATGGTTGGCACTGTCCTGCAGCACAGAAGCAGTGCTGGGATGGGCCCAGGTGCTTCCAGAGCAGTTACGGGCCCTCCTCGTGTTGGGCAAAGGGGGCCCCTTTTCAGGCCTCCCACTAGCAAGCAGAACAGGCACCCGTTCCTGAGGTCCTGGTACCAGTCTTGCTGGGTCAATTACTTGTGGGCAGTGCTGCAGTGGGACTCACATGCCCAGAAAACAGCCCTCTGGCATTCCTGGGCTTCCTCCCCTGGCCGCAGGGAGCCCTCAGGCCGAGCCTTGGCAAGAGGGGCCATACTGTGGGAGGCAGGGCCCCATCACTGGGCTCCCGGAACAAACACGGGTAGATGGCACCACCTGGTGGCCGCACTGCCACAGAGCCATCCCAGCCTGTGGTTCCAGGGTGCTGTGTCCCACTCTTCTGTGGCCTCCGCACCATGAGGCCACCCCCTACAGGCACATCCTAGACCACCAAAGCCCCCCGGTGCCCCATGTCAGAGACAGCCCAAGTCAGCCCTCTTGCGGAACCTTCAGTGGCTTCTGCTGACTGGGGAGGACGCGCCCCAGAAGCTGGGGTTCAAAGCCCTGCCACTTGGGCTTAGTAAAGCCATGCCCTTTCTGTTCCACCAGAACTACTTTTGCAATCATGGAGAAGTTCCATCCCATGTCTGGGCCTCAACTTCCACCTTTGCCAAATGGGGGCCCTGCTCTGCTGTGGACAAGGGGCAGGAGTTTGGGAAGCCAAGCTGAGGCCTTCACTTGCTGGGGTGAAGGTGGGAAGCTTAACGGTCCCACCCTGACGCCAGCCCTTAAGGGCTTGTAAGTGATTCTTTCAGGTGTTCTGGTCCTAAGCCACAGGAGAAGGAACAGCAGAGCCACCCTTGGCTGCTCAGAAGTCTGCCTGCCGTACTTGCAAATGTCCAATAACAAAACCTCCCGCCTGTGTTCTATTTCAGCACAATCTCACATCTCTCCTTCCAACAACTGCGTGAGGCACACAGTAGTGTCCTCATTTTGCAGAGGAGGAAACTGAGGCTCAGAGGGGGGGAGATCTGTGCCGGGAAGTAGGGGACATTGGCCTCTTTCTCAAAGCAGACATTGGGGGTGGTCCCAGGAATATGCTCACCTGCAGGCCTGAGTTTGTATGAGGTCGGGGGTTGGCCATTGACAGGCAGGATGGTGACAGTGAAGGCCACAGGATGGCTCTGGCGGTCCATCTCAGAGGCATTAGCCATCAGGACAAAACCGTCAGTGTCTTGCTCCCATCGTGCAGGTACTGGATCAGATGCTCTTCCACCTAGGGGCAGGCCCAGGGCTGGCAGTCAGACCCCAGCAGCACCCTTCATGTTCTGCCTTTGGGTGCAGGAAGAGACTGACCCTTTTAGGGCCTCAGCTTCCATTGGTGGAAAATGGGGACCATAAGTTCTGGTTCCCAGAGGAGTTGTGAGGAAGAAAGGGGATATTTTATTTTATTTTGAGACAGAGTCTCTCGCTCTGTTGCCCAGGCTGGAGTGCAGTGGTGTGATCTCGGCTCACTGCAACCTCTGCCTCCCAGATTCAAGCGATTCTCCTGCCTCAGCCTCCTGAGTAGCTGGGACTACAGGTGCGGGCCACCACACCCGGCTAATTTTTTGTATTTTTAGTAGAAACAGGGTTTCACCGTGTTAGCCAGGATGGTCTTGATCTCCTGACCTCCTGATCTGCCCACCTCGGCCTCCCAAAGTCCTGGAATTACAGGCATGAGCCACAGCGCCCAGCCCGAGATACAGCATCTAAAGCATAGGTCTTTCTGAAATGTGACTCCCTGTCTCCTCTCTGTATAACCCCTGGACTGGGAGTCCCCGGGGCTCCCTCCACTCTGCCCCCAGAGCTGGGCTGCAGCCCCTGGGCCTCTCTCACAGCCGTACCTCTCTCCAGCAGAAGGTGCTGAGGGTCCTGGCTTGAGGCCCATCCTCCTTCTGCAGGGCCCCATGCCGGGGTGGCTCCAGCACCTGCAGGCCAAGGCCCGGGAGAGTGGGGAAGTAGGACCTGGCAACGCGGAGCAGTGGAGGGGCCAGGGTGCAGCTGCGACTGTGCCCCCTCTACTGCTGAAGTTTTGTGCCCCCAGTGGGGATGACAGCAGGCAGCACCTCCAGCTCCACGTGACGTCCTCAAGGGTAGCACCCAGGCCGAGGCCACATCCAGCGAGAAGGCATGGCTCCGGGCCTCAGGGCGGGAGTGCAGGTAGAGGATCCTGCCTGTGTCCACTGCCTCTTGGGAGAAGCTCTGCACGGGGTCCAGGCTGGGTGGCTCATCTGCCAAGATGCCACGCAGCACCATCACCAGGTAGCCGGCACTCGGTGGGCTCTTCACTGAGAAAACGATGTCTGCTGGCGGCACTGCCTCCTGGGCTACCTGGTTAACAGAGGTCATGAGGACTCACAAGGGAATGCGCAGAGGGGTCTCAGAGGGGCCCACTGTGGCCCTAAGCAGCCAGAACAGCCTTGATCTTGCTCCACTTATTTCCCCAGATACCACTGCTCATTTAGTGACACACACACATGTGGGTTCACACACACAGCAGCCAGACATGCAGCTGGTCATATTTTTTGTTTTTTTGAGACAGGGTCTCACTCTGTCACCCAGGCTGGAGTGCTGTGGTGTGATCACAGCTCCCTGCAGCCTCAACGTCCTAGGCTCAAGGGCTCAGCCTCCCAAGTAGCTGGGACCACAGTCATGTGCCACCATGCCTGGCTAATTTTTAAATGTTTTGTGTAGAGATGGGGTTTCACTGGGTTGCCCCAGCTGGTCACATGTTAATACCCACCCCACACATGGTTACGGGGTGTCGGTCACACAGCTTGAGATGCACTCCCTCAGGGAAGTGCATAATCACATGTCCCCAGACTCAGTGACACAGACATATGAGTTCATCAGATGCCGATGCAGTCACACAGGTACAGGTACACATGCGTGTGTGCACACGCACACAGGCCCCCTGCTCAGGATCTGTTCAGGCCTGTGGCTGGTTTGCTGGCAGCATCCTCCCCAACCCCTGCTATTACCACCCAGGACCATCAGAGGGTGCCCTGCCCCACCCCACCCCACCCCTCCTAGAGGCACAGGCACCCCCAGCACAGGCCCTACAGAGCTCACACCCCAAAGGCCACATGGGCTCCCTCACCTGATGGGCCATCCACAAGAGGCTAAACTGCCTCCAAACTCACATTCCTGTTTTGTGCCTTCGGCCGGAATGTTCCTTTTGCATGGAATACCACTCCCCATTCTCTGCTCCTAATGGCCTGTACTCTTCAGAGCCCGGCCCAAACACTGCCTCCTCCCATGAGGCCTTCCTGATGCCAGATCTGCTGGCTCACCATGGGCCCCAAGCTCCAGATGCAGACCAGAAGGGTCTCCGAAATAAGCAGTGTGGAAGAGTAAGGCTGAGAGCGGGCAAGGACTGGCCTGAGGTCACAGGGCATGTCAGATCTCTGGAAGGCCCGTGGCTGCTCTGTGAGGTTCCTGGGTAAGCAGAAGCCCTTGACAGACCCTCCTGGTCCTGGTCTGGGCTCTGAGAAGAGAGCGGGGTACACAGGGGTCTGAGAGGCAGCGGCCTGTCTCCACGGCCAGCAATCCCAAAAGTTCAGGACCCGTGATGCCCTCCCAGGGAACTGACTGCAATGCAGATTCTCGGGCTCCACTTCAGAGATTCTGTAGGGCTGGGTGGCGTCCAGGAATCTGCATGCTCAGCCATGCCATGGACATGAGTGGGCACCAGCTCTAGAGGCACACACCACTCCCAGGAGGATGGGTGTACAGCAAGCTCCCCAGAAACTCTTGGGAACACAACATATATGGGAGCATATCTGAGGCACGTGCACACACGCAAGCTGGGACCACCACAGGTACAGCCCAAGTCACATGTGTTCCCGGCATGGAGGCTGGGAGGAAGGCCCTCTACCTGGTCCACACCCCGCTCACCACCTCCAGCTCCTCACCTCCAGCTGGTCCCTTCTGATCTCAGCTGCCTCTCCCTGGAAGATGTAGATCTTCTTGTGCTGGGCCAGCTTCAGTGGGGCTACTGGGCCCTCTAGGGCAATGGTCACTTGTAGGGTGGCATCTGTGTGCACTGGTCCCACATCCATTGAGAAGGCCAGGGTGTTGCAGGAGCTGAGGCTGCCATTGTGGCCATAGGGAACAGCCCCAACCAGCAGGTCCTGCTGAGAGAAGGCTGTGGCTGGCTGAGTGGCTTGGAGCAACTGTCCCCAGTGAGGGCTGTCTGTGACGTGGTAGTGGGCCTCATCCCTACTGCAGATGTTGAGGTTGGTGCCCAGGTGGAGCTCGGCCATGTTGATGGTACCCTGGCCTCCTTGAGGAACCATGAGGCCGGAGCCATTGGCCACACAGAGGTAAGGCTCCAAGGCCTGCACCTCCAGCACCGTGATGGCCTGGTGCTGCCCATCGGACACCTGCAGCGGGATCCAGCCGTGGTCAGCCTGAGTGTGTGAACAGGACTCGCCTCTTCCTGAGGCCCCTCCTGGATGAAGCGGCAGATGGGCTGCATGGGCTCATCCGTGGCCATGATACTGCCAGAGAGGAGGTCCTGGTGGGTCAGCACCAGCTGGGCCTCAGCAAAGCCCGAATCAGCATTGCTGAAGGCCATGTTGTCTGTAGTCAGCAGCCGCCACCTACCCCAGGCCACATGGAAGACGCAGCTGATGGTCTGCATAGGGGCGTGGTCATTCACAGGCTGGATGGCCACTCAGAAGACACCCCATACCTCCTCCCAGGCCACGTCACCACTGCTCTGGTCCTGGTGGCAGCAGGAAATGGGATATCATCTTCTGTGATCTCGGAGTCATCATGCTGCTAGACCAGCTGGCCATGCATCAGGTCTCCATTGGTGAAGGATGTCACCATAGTGATCTTGTCCTGTGTCCCACGCCAAGTCAACCTCCCATGGCGGGGCTGCTCCATGACCTCATAGAGGTACCTGGCACTGTTGAGACTCTTGATGAAGAGCTGGTCAGCAGAGAGGACACACTCACCACCCTCGGGCACCATGAGGACAGGCATGTCTGGGTCACCGCCAATATGGATGGAGAAGGTACAGAGTGGGGAGAAATATGGTGGAGCTGTGACATGGAAACAGAAGGTGTCCTCCACTGCCACTGAGGCACGTGCCATGGCCCCATAGGTCACCTCTGCAGCCTGTACGTCATCCTGGGTGAAGCCCTGACCGTCTGACATCATCGTGCCCTGTAGTTGAAGGTTGCCTTTCCTGGGAGCCTGAACCACCTCACAGTGGAAGGTTGGGGGGCTTGGGCCTGCCTCCTCCAGGGTGGCCTCCAGGTGGGCTGTGGTGAGGGCCTCCTGCTGGGTGTTCTGAGTGTGCAGTGGCTCCAGCTGCAGCATCCACACAGTGGCTCTCTGGATGGTCACTAGGAAGGACAGATTGCTCAGGATTTCCCAGCTCACCTGCACCTGCAGATCCAGGTTCTCCACGGTGTCCTCGGTGTAGTGCTGTGGGTCAGTGCTCAGGTATCTCACGTGGCCCTGCTCCACATCCTGCTGGTGGAACGCCTGTGTGACCCACCACTCAGCATCCTCCACCCCACCAGCCCCCTGCTTCTGCAGCTCCCTGAACGGCAGGCCTCCGGTGACATGGAACAGCACGGTCACATCCTGCCCCACGGCGCTGGTCTCCACCAACAGGTTGGTAGGCAAGATGGGCATGGCAGAGCCCTGGGCCAGATGCAGCCCTGTGCTGCGGTGGATTTGTATGGCCAGCTGGACAGCCACCACCTTCAGCATGGCCGGGGGGCTGGCCTGCAGTCCATTGCTGACCCGGAATGTCAAGTCCTGTGTAGGGCCACCGCAGTGGACATAGACTAGGCTGCCGGCCTCCAACTCCCAGCAGGAGAACTCAGTCACCGGCTCCCCAGGCTGGTCTCGGTGCTCCACGGGGAGGCCAGAGGGGGTGCCAAGGAGCTGGAAGGTGAGGCCCTCACAGGTAGAGTCCAGGTCATAGGCCTGGAGAACCTCAGGCCCCAGAGGCTTGTGTGTGTGTTCCAGGATCACCATAAGGCTGCCATGTGGGAAGATGATGTGGGGTGGGTCATTGACAGGGTTGACCTGGATGGGCAGGAGGTCTGTTTGGCCCCTCCGCAGGCATGAGGGCATAGGCACCCAAGCCATCACTGACACCTCCAGCACCAGCTGGTCAGAGGTGTCCTCAGGGCCATCGTGGATGAAGCGGGCCTTGCAGTTCACCACGTCCAGAAGGGTGAACATTTTTCATGCCTGGGCACCCAGGACATCCAGCTCGAGCTCGCTGTAGTGTGCCCCTCAGGTCACGCTGAACAGCACCTGGGATTTACGCAGTTCAGCCTCCATCAGTGCCAGCATGGGCTGCACATGCCACCACTCAAGCCAGGCTGTGCCACCCTCGGTCACCACCACTGCACTGATAGCAGCTGGATGAAATTGGCAAAGACAGGAGGTAGCCCTGGCTCAGGCACGCATGGCTCAGCTAGCTCCACGGACAGCCAAGCCTCGGGAGCCAGGGTGGAGAAAGCTTCATAATGGCCATAGGCATTGTCCTCATACTCCTCCACCTCCTCCAGTCTGCAGCCAGCCACCATGTTGTGCGTCAGCAAGGCTTCCCACAGCCCCCGCCTCTAGCCATTGACACTGAGGTCTTCCATGCAGCCAGCCCAGCAGGGAGGCATTGGCAGCCCCTGGTGTCAGGCCTGAGCGGTGTTCCTGGAGGTGACGAGAGGCCTCTGCACCAGCTCCCCAAGAAGGAGACTGTCACGTGGCTCCAGGTAGCTGAGGACTCCTCGGTTCAAAGTACATGTGGGGTACTGGTCCATGGAGATTTCTAGCTGGTGAATGTTGATGTGGATGCTGACCTTGTGGGGCTGTGCGTCAGTCACAGGCACACTGTTGAGGAGCAATACAGTACCCTGGCCCTTCTCAACCATGGACCACAGGTGGCCCTCAAATATGTCCACATGGATGAAGTCCCCATGCCAGCCTGCTGCCTGGAAGGCCAAGGGTGCCTGCCAGCTCTGTGTGGTGAGTGTAAACTCCAGGGTTCCTTCATCCTGAGTGCCCCAGGCAGGCAAGGCAGCCAGAGAGTGGGACCTAGAGAAGCCCAGGGCCACATCGTCATTGGCAGAAAACTCTTCAGCACAGCCCTCATGCTTATTGGGGGTCAGAGGCTGGAGGAGTCTGCGGCCATTGAGAGCGGCTGCATGGAGGCAACCCCTCAGGGGATGGCTGGTTCCCCTCAGGTAGGGCAGGCCAAGTCTCCCAGTGTTCCCAACAAAGAGCCCATAGGGGACTTCTAGGGGGGCTCCCAGGACTACAGAGGAGGCATTCAGAAACCCATTGACTGACAATGTGGGCCAGTCCTCTGAGACAGTCAGAACTGTGGTGTGGGGGACGGAGTCACTCAGTAGAATTTCTGCTGGGGTCTGCAGCCTCAGCTCCTCCTGGCCCAGGACAAGCCTGACCTGAGGAGAGACGGGGAATGGGAGATGGGGGGCAGCACTTTGAATCCATCATTTCCCTTATAAAAGCACAGTGGGTTCCCCACAGGGGGCCCCAGAGCAGAAAACCTAGGACAAGGGCCTCTGGTGCCACTCCTCTTGCCTTCCTGCCATCTCTTTATTCATCCTCCAAACACTCACCAAAGGAAACTCTGGGCCAGGCCTGGATGGGCTCTGGGGACCCTGGTGTGAATCAGATGTGGTCCTTGCCCACAAGGAACTGACATATAGCAAGATGCTCTTCTAGAAACCCAACCTGTATTTTTAAATTCTCCTCCTCTTTCCTTGAGTGAGAAGCACCAGAAATATTGTCTTGGAATCTAGATTTCACCCCTGGAATAATGGGTAACTGAGAATCCGTTGATCAGTCCCCCTAAGTTTGGCAAAGTTTCTCGAGGTCACTGAAGGAAGCCAGGCTAACTGTTCAGGGACAGGGAGCCCAGGCAGATGCTCTGTGTTCTGGAAAAAAAAAAAAAAAAAAAAGCTGCCTGACCTGTGGTGGAGGAATATCTCAAGGAGAGATGAAGGACATAGTTCTGTCACCATGACATTGACACATGAAATGGCTCTGGTATGGTGCTCCCAGATGCTAGAATAGGTGATGGCAGAGTATGGGAACTGCAGAACCAGAACACTAAGAACCATGATCTTGGAGTCCTGGTATGGTGCATCTCTGTAGGGATGTGGCATCACTACCTGCACAGCTCAGCAGCCATCAGCACCAGACTGCACCACATAGGTGTTCAACAGTGACACCTTGTGGCAATGAGCAGCAATGACAGCAGCAGACTGACCAAGCCCTAGTCCTCTTCCCACTGGGGTGTGGAAAGAGATGGCTGCCCCAAATTTGTTAATTTGTTTTTTTTTTTCCTTCTAAAATAGAGATGGGGTCTCATTGTGTGGCTCAGGCCAGTCTTGAACTCCTAGGCTCAAGTGATCTTTCCACCTTGGTCTCCCAAAGTGGTGGGATTATAGGCATAAGCCACTGCACCCAGCCTGCCCCAAATTTGGACTAAGACCCTGGGTTCTTAAACTCTTCCTGGTATGGGGTAAGACTCAAGTAGGAGCCACAAGACTCCTTGATAATAAAGCTTGTGGTGTCTTGAAGGATGAAATGGAAAAATGAAGCTGAGGCAGTACTGGTGCTGTTACTCTCATGGACAGACAGTGGTGCTGCAGATAAATTGGTGCAGTGCCACCAGGATGCGCAGGGGTCATGGGGGCCCAGGAGGGGGTCTCGCCGAGGAGGAGGGGATGCCCACACTGAAACTTCAAGGAGAGACTAGAGTTCGGCAGGTACAGGGAATGGGTGGGTCACACACCTGGCAGGAGGAGTGTGATGACCAAAGGCCTGGCTGCAAGTGACCATAAGATGGCCAGGAACTGAAAGCAGTTCAGTGTAGTCAGAGCACAAAGGGCCAGTGAGGGCTTGTGGTGGGAAACATGGTTGGAAGGAGCCGGTGGGCAGAGCCAGTTCATGAAGGATTTACCATTTCTGAGCTGCTGCTGCCCATCCCACAGTGGAGAACTTGAGACCCCAAGAAAAGTGACTTACACAAGGTCAACAGCCAGCTGGGGTTCACTCAAAGCTAGACAAGGAATCTCGCCCCAATCCCAGGGGGACGTCACTCACCTGCAGGTGTCCAGAGTAGAGCTGCAGCAGGAGGTGGTCAGCTGGGCCTGCTGCCAGGAGAAGGAGGGCTTCGGGTTGGGACATGGAGAACTGCAGCTGCAGGTCTATGTCAGTCAGAGCCATGGCCACAGTCACCTCCGGGTGGTTCTAACCAAAGAAGGAAGCTGTGTGAGAGAGGGAGCTGTGGTCAAGGCTCAGATTCTTGCCTGGAGGAGGCGAGGTGCTGCAGGGAGGGATGGGTGGGTTGCAGAAAGGGGTCCGTGCTGGTGCACCCTCATGGTTCTGCCATACGGTGCTGCCTCTGAGCACTGCCCAGATCCCAGCATTTCCTTGGTCCTGGCACCAGAAGGCACAGCCTCACCTTGTGTCCAGCCCAGACCTTGACTTGGCAGGAGGTCAGACCCAGAAATTCCCAGCAACTCAGGTCTCCTCCTTGGAGGTTCCTGGAGCCAGAGGCCTCTGCCAGCTCTGACTCACCTCCCCTGGGCCCCAGAGGAGTCTCCCTCCCAGGTCTGGCTCCCCGACCTGGCCCAAAGGGAAACATCACTGGCCTGATCACCTGGCTTGGTGGTCACAGCCCCGAGGAATGGAGTTTCTGGAGAATCACCCCCAGGCCAGATCGATCCCTGCTCAGATTCCTTCTCCTAAGTGCCCTTGTGCTTGGGCTCCTGTGCAGCACCTGCTGTGCCATGCCCCACCTCCATGGGTTGGCTGGGGCCACGGCTGGGATCTGGGGGTGATGTCACTGCAGCCCACCTATCCCTGCTTCTCCCTCAGGCCATTCTTCCAGCTGCCATTGAGGGTGGGGGCAGGAGCTTATTGGCCTGAGTTTGCCAAGGAGTAAAGGCTCTCAGGCCAGATGGGGACCATATGCAGTGTCAAACCAAAGTGGGCCCACACTTCCTCCACTACCCCTGCTGTTGCTTCCTGCTAGAGAGCTATTCACAGTCCCCGCTGAGCAGTCAGATCCGGCCCCATTGTTTCCACCGTGGCCAAGGAACCAGGGATGAGAACAGCTCAGCTCCCAACCTCCCCAGGCCACCACTCAGTCTGAGGCTGAAGACAGGGCCTAGAAGGGGCTGATGGTCTGCTGAGCAGGCCAAAGAGGGCCTCCCCAGGCAGAAGGCCATGTCTGGGCTTGCCTGGGGTTAGTGGTTCTTATGCAGGGCCTGTTCTGTCCCACAGTGGGACTCCTCCTCTTTTGAGTTGCTGCTTCCTCCAGGCAGTTTCCCCAAATTAGCCTCCCTGACTTCCAACCCGATGCCATAATTTCTGGTCTATGCCTTTTGTGGTGATAAGAGCCAAATATAACTTTAACTTTGCCTGCAGATGTCCAGGGCTGGGGGGCAGACAAACACAGGTTAAAAACTGTGATTCATCCCTGTTGGGTTTCCCTCAAACCCCAAGAACAAGCACAGGCTGATGGCCTTGATGGGGTGATCCAGCACCGACCTCACATGCACTGGTCCCTAGCCAGCCTGAGCCAGCTGCCATCTGCTCGAGGAAGTAGCTTCAGCCATTGGAGGAGTTGGAAGTTTGTACACCCTCAGGGCAGCCAGCCCCACCTGGAGGGATATCCAGGAAAGATCCCGTAAGAGCCCCTCGGGTTGAGTTAAATCCCCTCTAGTTATCCCCTCCTCCTGCCAGCACTGCTGGCAACACCAGCACCTTGGCTGGGAAGCTAAGGGAATCAAGTAAGCCCCGCAGACCATATGCGCTGGGGTGGCCCAGCAGTCTCAGCAGGCACAGCACAGCTTGGTGCCAGCAAGAGACAGACCAGGGAACTGCAGGTGGTGGCCAGCTACTGGGGTGCCTTATCTGCAAAGACATTGATTCCTAAGAGCAAAACACAGCACACTAAAGTGAGGGTGGCCATAGCACAAGGGGTGGGGGCACATGGCCCTGCAGGATGGAGCCACCACAGTCACCGGCTGGAACGGCTCACAGCAGCTGCCAGGAGCCAACTGTTGAATTTTCAGGAATTTTGAGAGGCAGGTGATACTGCCCACAGTGGGAATATTTATACCAGGAAAAGAGGCAAATACTGAAAATCAGGGTTCCCTCTCCCCAAGAAAGCCCTTTGCGAAACATTTACCTACCCAGCACCCACGGGGAAGGGGGCACATCTCCCTGTGCCTACCCACCTGTGTTAATCAGGGTTCCCTAGAGGGACAGAACTAATAGGAGATATAGACAGATATAGATATAGATAATAGATATAGATATAGATAATAGATATAGATATAGATATAGATAGATATATAAAGGGGAGTTTATGAAGTATTAACTTACACAATCACAAGGTCCCACAATAGGCTGTCTGCAAGTTTGAGGAGCAAGGAGAGCCAATCCGAGTCTCAAAACTGAAGAACCTGGAGTCCGATGTTAGAGGGCAGGAAGTGTCCAGCATGGGAGAAAGATGTAGGCTGGGAAGCTAGGCCAATCTTACCTTTTCATGTTTTTCTGCCTGCTTTATATTCGCTAGCAGCTGATTAGAAAGATGGTACCCACCAGTATTAAAGGTGGGTCTGCCTTCCCCAGCCCACTGACTCAAATGTTTATCTCCTTTTACAATGCCCTCACAGACACTTCCAGTAGGTCAATACTTTGCAGCCTTCACCCCAATCAAGTTGACACTCAGTATTAACTGTCACACCACCCTTGCACTAAAGGTATACATACACCCACTAGGGCATGGTCAACGTCAGAGATCTGGGCCAGACAGGAACTGAAGTAGATGGTTGGCCCTAACCACTGAACCACCTGCCTGCGGCCTCCTCCCATCAGAAGAGAGTAGAGCCTGTTTGGCCAGAGTGGAATGGTGGCAGGAAGCAGAGGTACTTTCCGGAGCGCTGGGGTCTGAATGGGTCCATTGAGGCTGGGCCCTGCTGCTTCCTGTAGGGCTGAGTGGGAGAGGCTCACAGAGGCTGCCTTGTGCAGCTGGAGCGCATAGCCAGGGAGGCCCCCACTCCAACAGAGGCCTCTGAGGCCTTGCTGGCCGGGGCTTTGGAAACTCTGACAGCGCTGCTTCCCTCACCTCCTGATCTCCTTTTTCTGCCCCTCTTACACTCTCTGAGGGGCTGCAGTTGCAAGAATCCAGAATCTCTGTCTTGGAGGTAGTGGGGGGGGGGCAGTTGAAGAGGGGCTTTGAATGGAGAGGGTCTGCACAATAAAGATGTAATAAGCTAGGAGTCAATCCAGAGGACTTCCTGGAGGAGGTGATGGTGGTGTAGAGTCACAGAGAGGGAGGAACAGGCAGTCTCAGAGGACAGCAGCAAGGCCAAGTGAGAGACTGGCAGAGGTATACAGGTCCCCGTTGGCTGGGGTGAGGAGGGTTTCTGCTCCCTCACCCCCCAGAGCCTCTGGCTTATCACAGGATAAAAGCCAGCTAAGCTCCAGGGGCTTTCCAGGAAAAGTGTCTCTTGGAAAGGGTGTGACCTTTTCATCGGTCCTGACAGCACCCTAGAAATAGCTTGGCCTTTTCCCTCCCCTGAGCTCCACAGAGAACACAGCCAGCAGAAGACACATTCCCTGTCATCCAGAAATGGGTTTGATTCTCAGCTGAGGGACAGCAGGACTGGTAGAGACTGTCAGGCCACACAGCTACCTACAGAGCACCCCCATGCTTGGTCGGGGGTGGGAGGGATGGCAGGGTCTGGCTGTCCACAGGCCGGGCATGACAGTGGGGCGCACTGGAAGTGGCGCACTTTGGAGGGGCAATGTCAGGGAAGAGCTTCCTCTTGTTGGGCCACAAGACTCCACAAGGACAGCACGGTGACTGATTCCCAATGCTAGAGGCGAGGCAATCGGTCATGTGTAGGTGTGTGTGTGTGTGTGTGTGTGTGTGTGTGTGTATACACACACATATGTGTGTATATATATATGAGGGTGTGTGTATGTGTGTGTATACATAATTTATTTATTTAGATGGAGTCTTGCTCTGCCACCCAGGCTGGACCTCAGTGGTGCGATCTCGACTCACTGAAACCTCTGCCTCCTGGGTTCAAGCAATTCTCCTGCCTCAGCCTGCCGAGTAGCTGGGACTACAGTCACCTGCCACCACACCGGGCTAATTTTTGTATTTTTAGTAGAGATGAGGTTTCACCATATTGGCCAGGCTGGTCTCAAACTCCTGACCTTGTGATCTGCCTGCCTCGGCCTCCCAAAGTGCTGGGATTACAGGTGTGAGCCACAGCACCCAGCTATTTATAGATATTTATAGAATATGACCTCAACTATTTAAACATATCTGTAAGGGTATAAGTACTTTGATAACAAAGAAGCAATACATACTGATAGAAACTAGCTATCATGTCAACAGTAGTTATATTAGGTAGAGAAATTATGTGAGATTTTTATTTTTTTATATTTTACTAATCTTCTCAATAATGGTTGCTTATAAGTTTTATAATCAAGAAAAAAAGGTTTCTAAAGTTTTTGCAAAATGGAAAGTTATGCTTCTTTATATACTAAAGACAAAAACAAACTTCCTATTTGAATACCTTTGACTTTTACTGCAGACTTACAGACCCTTGAAAGAAAAGGCAATCCCCTCCCACTAGTTTTGGTGTCATTCTCCCCATCTCTCCCTTCACTTCCACCTTGGTCTTCTTTCTACTTCCCACCTTGGCTAGTGGTCTCCACCCAAAATGCTTGCTTGGCTTAATGGTTAGAATTCAGGGAAAAAGAGATCCCGAATTGCTAATCTAAACTAAGATTATACATGTGGGAAATAATAAAGAGAAACCAGGTAGTAAATAAGATTTGGAGGACTTAAAATACCCAGACTTTAATTCCTCTAAGATTACAGTTGTTAATCATGTTTTTATATAATATTATCACTTACCATTTAATTTCTAAATATAATGTTCATGAGGAAAAGAGAAAATAGCTTGGTTTCTTTCCTCACCGAACTGTTCTCCTTAGTATCTTCTAGACGTTCCAGAACTGATGTCAGATTTGGCTCATCAGAGTCCACAGACCATATCGGTGAAGAAGATGAATAGGATTCCTGTTTAACCCAGAGACACCTATGTTAAATGTTTACATACAGACTAACCCAAATATGCAATTAAACCACACCACTAAATGGCAAGATGACCATGGATTTAAACAAAATGTATCAGGGGGAAAAGGCAACACGTTTAAACCCATGTGAGGAGCTGGACTTCTGAGACAGCCATTCTCCTTGCATAGCACTGTCTGCTGCTACAGCTCATAGAAGTCAACAACTTTCTTCAACACTGGTAGGCAGCCTTTAAATGGCCCTGATCACCCTCACCTCCTGCCATTCACACCCTTGTAAAATTCCACCCCTGGACCTAGTGACTCACTTCTAACAAAGAGAATACAGCAAAAGTAACATCGCTTCTGAGGTGAGGCTACAAGGAGACTACGATGCCTGCCTTGGTCACCCTTCTCCTGCTCTTTCCATTGCTCCCTCTGATGGAAGCCAGTTGCCATGTGATGAGGTGCCCTATGGAGAGGCCCACGTGACAAGGTATTGTAAAAGGCCTCTGACCAATGGCCATCTAGAAACGGAGGCCCAGTCCAGCAGCCTCTGAGATGAATCCTGCCAACCTGATCTTGGAGACAGATTCTCTCCCTATCCTGCCTTGGGATGATCACAGCCACCACCAACACCTTCACTGCCTGGTGAGAGGCCAAGCCAGTGAACCCAAGGTAAACTGGACAGAATCCTGACCCACAGAAACTGAGATAATGTTTGTTATTTTAAGCTGCTCAGTTTGTTACAGAGCAATAGATAACTAACTCAAACACCATAAAATTCTAATATTTTATTCTATCACACAAACCAGGTAATACCAAGTAAATGCCATTACTATACATATATTTTTGTAACACAATTACATGTGATTTTTTAAAAAAGCTAATGAACTATGCATTATGTGCTTTCACCCACTAACAGACATTTCTGCTGTTACTTTGTACTGTTCTCTATTATAAATTGGGGAAAAACCATTATTATTATATATTAGCTTCAGAATAACTAGGTTGAAGTCACAGAAAACAATTTTGCACAAACAACTTTAGGCAACACTGCTTTGAAAACTGTAATCTGAATTAAAGCTGAAGCCACAGAAACCAAATATTTACTGAAGGTTCCTTTTTAAGAAAAACAAGATGGGCCGGGCACGGTGGCTCGCGCCTCTAATCTCAGCACTTTGGGAGGCCGAGGTGGGCGGATCACGAGGTCAGGAGATCGAGACCGTCCTGGCTAACACGGAGAAACCCCATCTCTACTAAAAAAATACAAAAAAATTAGCTGGGCGCGCTGGCGGGTGCCTGTAGTCCCAGCTACTCAGGAGGCTGAGGCAGGGGAATCACTTGAACCCGGGAGGCAGAGGTTTCAGTGGGCTGAGATGTCCACTGCACTCCAGGCTGGCGATAGAGCAAGACTCCATCTCAAAAAACAAAAAAAAAAAAAAAAAGAAAAACAAGTTGTATTGATGGAGGACATCATTAACAGTATATCTCTTCAATAATGGTTTATTTTACTATTCTCATTCTTCTCATTCCTCTCTTACTGTGTTCCAAATCTCTTTACAGGCTAAAAGAAACTCTTCAGAATTACTCCTACAGGCTAAAAGAAACTCCAGAATTACTCCTATTCTTTTTTTTCTTTTTTTGTTTTTTTTTTTGAGACCGAGTTTCGCTCCTGTTGCCCAGGCTGGAATGCAGTGGCACGATCTCAGCTCATCACAACCTCCACCTCCCGGGTTCAAGCAATTCTCCTGCCTCAGCCTTCCTGAGTAGCTGGGATTACAGGCACGTGCCATCATGCCCCACTAATTTTGTATTTTTAGTAGAGACGGGGTTTCTCCATGTTGGTCAGGCTGGTCTCGAACCCCTGATCTCAGATGATCCGCCCACCTCGGCCTCCCAAAGTGTTGGAATTACAGGCGTGAGCCACTGCGCCCAGCCAATCCTATTCTTAAAGAACACCACTTACTGAGTATTGCATTTTCTTCTATAAATTCTTCAGCATACACTGAGAATACACCATATGGACTATTTTTACGCTTTTAATTTTGGGTTTTTTTTATTTTGGCTAAGGAAATTGCAATTAGATTTAGGACTTCATTCTGTTAGGTTAGTATTTTCTAGTAAACTTCAGCGTAAGCAAAATAAAATATGTGTTGTTGCTCTGGACTGAAACCCCTCAAAACCATATTTTAAAAATTACAAAAAAAAAATTAACTGAAATCAAGTTTTTAAAAACCTTGTAGATGAAAAGATATGATATCTAGTACGTCTAAGTACCTATTTCAATGGTTCCCAAAGTGCGGCCCTCAGACCCCCAAGTCCAAACTATTTTGACAGGAATATTAACATGGTGACATTTGCTGTAAGTGTGCAAATACAATGGTGGGTAAAAATGCTGGTACTTTAGCACAAACAAAGGCAGTAACACCAAACTACTACTAGTAGTCATGGTATTCTTCACTATGAACAGGAAAGGTTTAAAAAGGAAGGGTGGGTGGGGCATGGTGGCCTACGCCTGTAATCCCAGTGCTTCGGGAGGCTGAGGTCGACGGATCACCTAAGGTCAGGAGTTTGAGACCAGCTTGGCCAACATGGTGAAACCCCATCTCTACTAAAAATACAAAAATTAGCTCGGTGTGGTGGTGCATGCCTGTATTCCCAAATACTTAGGAGGCTGAGGCAGGAGAATCACTTGAACCTGGGAGGCAGAGGTTGCCTTGAGCTGAAATTGCACCTATGTAACTCCAGACTGGGCAACAGAGCAAAACTCCGTCTTCAAAAATAAAAATAAAAAGGAAGGGCAACAAAAGGTTAGTTTCATTTAAGAATGTCTATGATAAGGTTGGGAATTTTGGCTCATGTCTGTAATTCCAGCACTTTGGAAGGCCCAGGCAGGGGGATCCCTTGAGCCCGGGAGTTCAAGACCTGCATGGGCAACCTGGTGAAACCTCATCTCTACAAAAAATACAAAAATTAGCTGAACACAGTGGCTGCATGCCTGTAGTCCCAGCGTCTTGGAAGGCTGAGGCAGGAGGATTGACTGAACCCAGAAAGTTGAGGCTGCAGTGAGCTGTGATTACGCTACTGCACTCCAGCCTCAGCGACAGAACAAGGCCATATCTCAAAAATTAAAAAAAAAAAAAATGTCTATGATGAAGCAGTGAATATTTTACTATATCTAAATCCTTGAATATATCTTTTTAATATTTCAAGTGATGAAATGGGAAGTATACATGAGCATTCCTACAGGCTGCCTGAGAAAAAAACCCTTGAGTGACTAAGTCATGAAGTGAATTAACCACTTTAATGGAATACCATTTTTACTTGAAAGGCTGACTGACAAAAAATGTTATTTTAACTCGCATTTCTGGCAGATATTTTCTCAAAACATGAGATTCTGTCATTTCAAGGAAAACAACAGACAGGCTATAATAAAATTCAATAACAAAATTACTAATAAAATTCAAGCTTTTGAACAAAAAATTAGAATTTTAGAAAACTTATGTCCACCATCACTTTCCAAAAGTATTCTGATGAGATTGATGGTGGTATTGATGAATGTATTTTGATACTGTACAATCAAATGTATCAACATGTAGAAGATCCTAGTGAACCACTATTTTATAAGTGACCAATGCACGATGTTGTAATATCATGCAAGGGTGGAAGATCCAAAGTTCAAGAAAAACCAAGATTTGATGGAGTATCAAAAAAGAAGCCTAGGCAACATGGCAAAACCCTGTCTCTACAAAAAATACAAAAAGTTAGCCAAATGTGGTGGTACACACCTGTAGTCCCAGCTACTCCGGAGGCTGAGGTGGGAGGATCACCTGAGTCCCCGGAGACTGAGGCTGCAGTGAGCTGTGATCACACCACTACCTTCCAGCCTGGGCAACAGGGCAAGACCTCATCTCAAAAAATATATATATATCCACAATGATCTAAAATGTTATCTGTATGAGATTGGTCTTTGTTCACATTTTTTCAAGAAAATATCACACAATAAATTGAATGCAGAAGCAAACTGACATATCAATTTGCTAATGACATGTCAAACATCATGCAAATGACATATCAAACATCAAAAAAATTTGCAAAAGATGTAAGATTGTACTACTTTGGGTTTAGAAATTTTCTTTTCATAAAAGCATTTATAACAATATGTGGTGAGCTTTTAAAGAATATTTTAAATATTTCTGATTTAATTTCTAGTGATAAATACCAATAGATATACCCTACATAAACCAAAGCTCCTTGGGCCCTCAATGTATTTTTAAGAGTGTAAAGGAATCCTGACCCCAAAACTTGGAGAACTGCTGCCTTCCCCTCCACTTTCTTGCTTCCCTAGAATTTCTTCCTTGGAAGAAACATCCTTTTGCCATTCTATATTAACTTACATAGTTCCACTGAGGCAAGTTTTGCTACCTCCCTCCCATCTTTCCACCTCTCTCTCAACACAAAGCCTGACCAAAGGATTCTACCAGCCCACCCCATTTCCAGTGATTAGCTGTCAGGTGGGCTAAGCCAAACAAATCTGGGTTTTCCCTGAGACTAGACCTCTCTTTCTGGGAGAGATGGAATCACAGGGACAAGGTTGGCCACCTTGGGGTAGTGAGAATTCATCCTGCCTAAACAGGGAGAATTCAAACAAGTTTCTAGAAAGCCAAACTACTTTCTAGAAAGTCAAAGATAATTATATTTTTTGCCATGACTGTAAGAATGCCCATTTCATTGCACACTTTCTAACATTTTTACCAATCTGATAAATAAAAGCTGGTACTGAGATGAAAAAAAGGCTGGGCACAGTGGCTCACACCTGTATTTCCAACACTTTGGGAGGCTGAAGTGGGCAAATCACCTGAGGTCAGGAGTTCAAGACCAGCCTGGCCAACATGGTGAAACTCCGTCTCTACTAAAAATACAAAAATTAGCCAGGCATGGTGGCATGCGCCTGTAATCTCAGCTACTCGGGAGGCTGAGGCAGGAGAATTGCTTGAACCCAGGAGGTGGAGGTTGCAGTGAGATCACGCCATTGCACTCCAGCCTGGGCGACAAGAACAAGACTTCATCTCAAAAAAAAAGAAAAAAAAAGTTCCCATACAATATAATTTCTTCCATCTCTGGAAACAAATTCAGCAATGAGAACTGAAAGTCACCACGTGGAAGGTTTCAAGGATTTACGTCTACCTACTGATGTCTAAAGCATTAGTTAAGTTACAAAAAAATACGCACACACACACGCACGCACACACACACATACCCGTATGTATTCAGTACCAGAAAACATGACTGACTACATGGTAAAGTCATCCAACAGAAAGCACACAATAACTGAAGGCAATGTAGAGGAGTAAGTTATAACATGGATCTACAATACTGTTGAGTGAAAAAGCAGATTACAAACAAATATCTGATTTTTAAGGGAGAGGAAACATATATAAGCACAGGAGAAAAGAGGTGAGCAGATGACTGGAAAGATACAAATTTCTGACAGTGGCACCTTCTGAGTGGTAGAATTACATAGGTAATATTTTCTAGTTTTGCCTAAAAGTTTTCTAAATTTCTTAAAATAAGAAGGTTTTGTTTTCCATATTACAAAATATCCATCACCCCAGGAAATTTAACCTTCGGCACAAACTCTACATGTTCAAAGTTTGTTCAGTTGAATATTTAAGAGACAATCTATTTTGAAAGACATTTAAAATGACCAATATTTAAACCTATGCATTAATATTTTTCAATCACGTTTTAAATTTTGTAATTTTGATAAGTTTTAGATCCATCTTGAAAAGATAAATTTTCTGTTTGTCTTTAAAATATTACCTACAATATGCCTGTTTTTATACAGTTAATGGTGCTCAAAAATCACAATATAAATTCAGGCAGTGTTCCTTCTATAGAATGTGTAAGTGCTTCTAATACTGCTCTTTTTCACCAGTTATGAAAACACGGAACAATTATCTAAGCATCTAATTATTCAGGTCCTTTGTTTCTCCTCCATTCTGTTAGTTTTATACTAATTTCAAGGCCTGTGAAGATGAAGTTGTCTGTGACAGCTACCACAAAGGTTACTATAAGCAGACAAATTTCCAGCAAGTTTATCACCACTACCATCCCACCATAAAACTGTCTCAATCAAGGGCAACACAATTCAAGGTTAGTCAAGACAACCTCTTTACCTGTCACTGCTTAAGAAAAGGATTTTTTGGTCTTATTTAGAAATAACTTTATCTATTTTTCTCCATAATTCCACTGAGACCAATGTGTGCCTCTATCTCAAGCACCAGCAAGCAAAACTGCCTGCCAGTATGTTCAGTTTTTGTATCTTTCCAAATGTAGGGCACAGCTATCTTTTGATATCATAATTTTTTGAAAACTGATGCACAAACTTCTTCTTGAAAGTTCAGCCAGGTGCGGTAGCTCACACCTGTAATCCCAGCACTTTGGGAGGCTGAGGCAGGCTGATCACGAGGTCAGGAATTCAAGACCAGCCTGGCCAACATGGTGAAACCTGTCTCTACTAAAGCTACAAAAATTAGCCAGGTGCGGTGGCAGGTGCCTGTAATCCCAGCTACTCAGGAGGCTGAGGCAGGAGAATTGCTTGAACCTGGGCAGCAGAGGTTCCAGTGAGCCAAGATTGCACCACTGTACTCCAGCTTGGGTGATAGAGTGAGACTCCATCTCAAAATAAAAAATAAAAAAAAGAATTTCAGATATACAGCAGCTGTAATTCTTCTGAAGGCTGCTTATGGGACACATTACTTTCATAATTTGCTGTTCAATAAATGTGGGGTGGAGAATAAAGTAAATTGACAGAATTACCATATAAAATAAAATTCTAAGTCCTCTGACAACAAAAGAAACCACACACACACACACACACACACACACACACACACACACACACACACACACACACACACAGCTTTCCCTGCTAATCATTTTACAACAACCAAGTAGCTAACCCAGAGCCCACAAAAGCAGAGTAAAAATTCTAACACTTGGTAAAATAAAAATGCACATATATCCCTGTCATCTAAAAAAAAATGCTTACATATTCAAAGACAGCAATTGTAGCTACTGAGAACATCATTGTAAGCAAACTGAGGCAGAGAAAACAAACGTGCTGATGAGGATTTGAAACACCTAAGCTGCAGAAACCCACTGGATGGTTTCCTAGGTTCCGAGTTAGCATTATCTTTCAGAACGATCTTCTAGAAGAGATCACATAACACTGTTACAAAGGATCTGGAGAAAGGGACCCTGGCTTCATCACTCTGGCTCTCCAGTCATGCTTTACATTTTCACTTCTTACACTCTCTTTCATAGGAAGTCAATTTACAGGCCTCCATCAAGCCCTTAGAGACCTTTTTGTACTATCCATGACAAGTTCTTGATGTTATGTCTGCACTTCTGACAAATTCTTAGCAGTTAACTTACAAGGCAGTTAAGGTTTTTGTTCAAGCACAATATAGCTAGAATAGGGTCATACATTCAATAAAACAAATATTTACCAAGCATTTATTGAGTGGAAGATAAAAAGCACAAAGCATAATTATAAAACATTCTCCCCTGCCACCATAAAAATTTTTTTTAAAGCCTTACAGAATACAGCATAACATAACCAAAGCAAAAATAGTGAGGACTAAAGAGGGGAGGAAGGGGAAATATCAGCATGAATTAAATATGACCCAGAAGAGCCTTGATGGTCAGACACGTAAAGACAAATTGGGTAGGGTTAGGGGGTGGCTGTCAGGGGCACATTCTACAGGGGAAAAACAGCTGATACAGAAGCCTGAAAGAAAAAGCGGGCAGAGCACCTGGACAGGACTCTTACCTGCTGCATCCAGGGTACAATGCGCCTTTCCAGAACACAGCAGCGACCCGGGATAGAGGGATTGCTCAAACAGCACCAGAGGCTGCATTCCAACTTTTCCTCCATCAACGAGTCCGTTTTCATTGTTAGTTTCTCCTTAAACACGATTGGCTGAACATGCGGGAACAAGGAAAACCTGACTGAAGAACGAGGCATTTAAGCTTAAGGGCCTTGGATCTGGGCGCGGTGGCTCAGGCCTGTAATCCCAGAACTCTGGGAGGCAGAGATGGGTCATTTGAGGTCAGGAGTTCGAGACCAGCCTGGCCAACATGATGAAACCCCGTCTCTACTAAACAACACAAAAGTTAGCCAGGCGTGGTGGCGGGCTCCCGTAATCCCAGCTACTCGGGAGGCTGAGGCAGGAGAATCGCTTGAACCCACAGACTGTCAAGAGATGGAGGCTGCAGTATGCCGAGATCGCTCCACTGCACTCCAGCCTGGGCGACAGAGTGAGACTCCATCTCAAGAAGCGCCTGCCACCATGCCCGGCTAATTTTTGTATTTTTAGTAGAGACAGGGTTTTACCATGTTGGCCAGGCTGGTCTAGAACTCCTGACCTCAGGAGATCCAGCTGCCTCAGTCTCCCATAGTGCTGGGATTACAGGAATGAGCACTGCGCCCGGCCAAAAAACCGAAAATCTTAAAGGCCTTTCCCCTTCCCTCACTGGGCTCAAACAACAGCGGGAGCCGCCCTGCCACGCCCCGTCGCGGTCCAGGGGAGCAGGCTAGCTGACTGAGGGCGATCATGGGCCCCAAAAGGTCTGCGGGCGACGCGGGCTCCCACCTCAGGGCGCAGCGACTGGGGCGAGAGGTGCCGGCAGCCCCCAAGCCAGCCCCGCGGCAAGGAGCCAGAGAGACGCGCCCTCCCCCTCCTCCCACGCAAGCCTCACACAGCGGGGCGGGCCAGTAGCGGGAGAAAGGGGCGCGCTCGCCCCGCCTGGGGAACCGGGGCCTCTCCCGGGCAGGCTCGCCTTTGTCCCGGGACTCTGGGCGCCTCCTCTCCGCCCTCGCCCTGCCCCGTGAGGCCGCCACTGGGCGCCTCACCGTGATGTTGCAGTGGAGCGTGAGCTGCGGCGGCGGCTCCTGGTTCTTGTGGAAGATAGAGGCCAACAACTTCAGCTTGGCCTTGAACCCTCACACGGACATTTTACTCTCACCTCTGGCGGGAGGGGCGCGGAAGGTGAGCCCGTCGGGAGCCGCTGTCACGGCCGCAACCACCCGCGGGACCTCTCGGCGGCGCTCTCCCAGCTCCGCCTCTCCCTGATGCCTCAACTCTAGTCGGAGTAGGGCTGGAAAATGGCAAGGGGCACCGAGGCCTCTGCGGGGAGCTGTGTGGCGGCCTGGGCGGCTGCTCCCCTTGTAACAGACTCCACCGACAGGAGGCGCTGCTCCTGTCAAGCCGCAGCTTAAAAGGGCAACAGCACCACAGTCCCCGCTACCGCCTGGGAAAGGGCTGCCCCTACCCCGCTCCCGTCCCTCTCGCCCCTCACACCCGTCGCCCCTCACCCCTCAACCCGCGCGCCCCCTGCGCACCCGTTTCGGCGGCTGCAGGAGTCCAGAGCATGCGCGCGCTTCCGGCTGCCCCTCCTGGCCTTGACCCAGCACTGCTGGACCCATCTGGTCCGTTCTTCACACTCGCGGACTGGAGGCTCCGGGCAGCACAACCACCAACTCGTGTGTGTGTTGGGGTGGGGGTGGGGGGCAGAAAACCACCAACTCGTGTGTGTGTGTGTGTGTGTGTGTGTGTGTGTGTGTGTGTGTCTCCCAAGGGAACAGCACTGCTGAGTTCAGGCTATCAGCTCATGGACTGTCAGCAAAATACAGTCACAAGAAGGCTATGTGCTGTTTTGTCTCTTGCAGTGACGTCATGTTGCTCATGTTTTATGTTTTTCAGAGTTCATTAGTTTCTGTTTGCTCTCAGTTAATATCCAGCTCAATAGATTGTGTAAGTAGAATACCCCCAAACTGAAAGTCACCTACATAAAATATAGTGAAAAATATGTCACCCACTTAAACTATAGTTGAAAATATGTACTCATTAGTTTTGTGTAGCCAACACTGGATAATGGGTAAGGGGAAAGGATCCCAGGGCTAGACTGCCTGGGTTCAAGTTCCGATTTCCTGCTGGCTGTGAAATACTTGACAGCGTTCAGCCTCTGTTTCTTTTCTTTTTTTTTTTTTTTAGCTTAATCCCAAATATGATAGTAAGTCTCAGTTTCTTGATCTGAAAAACAGAAATTATTCAATGACAGTCTATGTGAAAACTTTAAAGTTTTCAAAGCCACTATCTAGCTTAGGAAAGTCCTCAGCTTTAGGGGTTAAAGTTTTTAAAACCACTGCCTGGTTCAGGAAAGCCCTCAGCTGTAGCCATTATTAGCTATGATTATTATTGTGGTGGCTACACATACATTAATGAGGCAGGAAAATGCTCAAGGATAACAAGCAAGTATCCAGATTATCTCATCAGACCAAGACAGATGCATATGCATGCATGATCATGTTTTAGCTCAGAGCCATTTGTCTAAAAGGCTCTTGAACTCAGAGGCCCAGGAGTATCAACTTTGCTTTGCAGTGGAGCCATCGCTTTTGTTAATCAATGAAATTGACATAATGCTCTTCTCTTTTTTTTCCTTTTTAGCACCAACCATGTGCCTAGAGCTAACTGTGTTAAGAAGAGCATGCTTCAAGTGGCTGGAGTGAGCAATTCAACTTGTGGAGGAATGAGAAGTGACAGTGTTGAGACAAGCAACATAAAACCCCAGGGTAAGGTAGAAATCACTGAAAGTCAGGCAAAGGAACTGGCGTCCAGTAATGAGTCAGGCTTTGCCAGCCTCTGGCCCTACAGATGGCTCTTTGCAGAGGAAAAAATTAAGCCAGGCCCGAGGGCACAGATCCTAAGGGAATGCTGGCAGCTCTAGGCTGTCTATGAGAGTCCAGAGATGCTGCTTCACCCTGGGGCTTTAGGCAAGTCCCTTTCCCTCCCAGAGCCTCAGCATCCCTTCTAGCAAATGACGTTCTGCCTTTCTCCTAGGATGGCTGTGGGGATCAAGGGAGACAGTGGCCATAGGGATACTATGTTAACTGCAGATGCGGCTGTAGGAGCACTTTGCTAACTTCCAACGTGAGTTCAGACTCTTCAGGCTATTTGGCACCCAGATCTATGGTGAGGTGTGACATATGGGATGTAAAGTTTGATGCCTGCTCCGACTCCAGTCTTGCTAACACACACGAAACCTTTGGTAAATCATGACCCTGCCTTGGGGAAAAGGGCAGTCTGGGAGAGCTTCTTCAAGGCAGCCTGGCTTCAATGCAGTCTGGGGCATGACTGAGATAGGCATACGTGGTGAGGAACTGGAGGGCAACTGGGTAAAGAGCTGCAGTGTGGGCAGAGGTGTAGTGTGGGTCACATCGCGGATAGCCACTGGCCAAAGCAGGGAACAGAGACAGAATGAGGAAGAGCTCTGTGGGGAGGGTGGGGCACAGGGTGGAGAACCTTCAAAGTCCAAAGAGTATGACTTGTTGGGATTCAACGCTGTAGGCAGTAGGGAGCCATGGAAGGCTCTTAGGTGGAGAAATGACAGCCGGACATTAGTGAGCAAGCCCTGTCTCCCTGAGCAGCATGGGTGGTCCTCTGAGCACGCCAGGCACGAGTGTGCAGGGAGCTGGTGCAAATGCCTCTGTGTGCAGGTGAGCATCTGTGTTGTGACTCTGCCCACGCATGTGCTTCAGCGTGCCGAGTGGCTGCACGCCCCAGATCCATGCGGCACGTGCCGGCCGGTGAGGGTGCTGGGCATTGGGAGGTGGCGGGGAGGGCGACGTATGCGTGTTGTTTGTGGGCATGTGTGTGAGTGTGTGCATGTGGGCCGTGGGGCCTCACAGCATGTGTGTGCACACTCCGGCATGTGCGTGTGTGTGTCCCCCACCCCCAGGCCTGCCCCACCCATGCATGTGACCTGCCATGTGATTTGAAGCTGTCTTTCAGAATCACTATCAGTGGCCCCTGAGGAGCGTCAGCCATGGTAGGTACATGCCTCACTGCCTGCTGCATGAATGGTCTGCCTGCCCCGCTGCCCCAGCTCCACACAGGGGGCATACCTGGAGCCTCAGAGCCAGGCTCCCTGCCCCTCCCTTCTGGAGCTGCAGACTTGCTCTTTCCTCTTTCTGTCCTTGTGCTGCTGGCTGTCTCACTTTGCTCCCTGTGAGCCATGGGACTCAGTGCCACTGCTCAAGGTCTCCATGGCTGAGCCTGGGGGCTCTTACAACAGGCTCCATGCCCAAGGTGGCAGTTGTGGAACCATCAGAGAGGGCACAGAGCTCATGGTTTATGGTGTAGGGGCTGGGAGCTTGGAGGGGGTTGTGTGGGGGGCTGGACTCAGGCGGCCAGAGGCCTGGGAACATCATCCTGGGCACGCCGTACCTGTCACGCAGTCTGAGTCATGCTGCCAGGGCAGGTATCCAGCTCCCAGCCTGGGAGTGCCAAGAGCCAAATCCACGGCAGATTAGGGGTGATAGTCACGGTCCCACGTCCTCTATCTGTCAGCAATCCAGTGGTGATCTAGGATAAAAGCCTGAGAGTCCTATACACGCGGTCATCCCACAACACACTTCATAGGCCATGGAAGGACACACAGCCCCCTTCCCTCCCTCCCAGGTACCATGATAGCTGCTAGCGTGCGACTGAAGGCAGGGTCCCTGGCCCCTGCTGAAGCACTACTGCTGGCCAGCAGGCTCACGCACCTTGGCCTGTTGCTTCTAGGGGTTGCCTGTGCTATTCAGCCAATAGTGCTGCTGGCCCAGCTGAGCGCCGCCTAGAGAGCTCACTTCCCTTTCCTGCCACGGAGTCTCCCTCTTCTGCTTTTCCCAGCAGGAAGGGCCCAGCCTCACCTATGTAACCTGCAGCCCCCCGCCAACCAGTTAAGGCTCCCCTCTTAGACTTAGAAGTCTATGGCCAATGGCATCCGGCTACCTGCCCTCCCTGCCTTCCCCAGGGTTCCTCAGAGGACCCTGGGCTTTCTGATGGCCCAGAGGGGCCTCTGGCATTCACTCCAGCCAGCCATCCCTTATAGCTCCACCATTTTGGTTCAATCAGTGTTCCTTCTCTATCAGGTCTGGTGGCTGTTGGATGGGGCTCTCCAAGCAAGAGGTGGCCCTGGGCCAGTGCGTTGGAAGACATGGGGACCACAGAAGAGGGAAGCCCGAGGGAGCTGGCATTGGTCTGAACTGTGGGTGGATGGGTGGATTGCCTGGGTTCCATGAGACAGGCCAGCGTGTGTGGGGTAGGGAGGGCCGCCGCAGTCCCCAGGCACTACCTATGAAGCTCCAGCTTCTCCCTCCATCTCCCTCCCCTTTCCCTTCCAGCCCCTCTTTTCCAGGAACCTTGCCACGCCCACACCTACGCCCTCCCCTCCCCGGCCCTCCACAGCTGCTGCAGCGCACCCATACTCTGCACTTGCCTCACCAGCTCTGGCTTTTCTCTAACCCGTTTTCTCTCTGCTTTCTCTCCAACTGCCAGCTGATCGGGTCAGGCAAGTCCATCCCGTCCTGAGAGCCCCAGGCCCCACTTCGACCTCTAAACACATCCCTCCTCTTCTCAGAGACCTCCCTTTCCAAGCCTGCCTGGGCGGGTGTCCTGTGACTTGACAGTGGCTCCCCCAGCCCCAAAGCCAGCCCCCTTCTTCTGTGACTTAGTCTGTTGTAGTGGTGAGCTGACACGTCCAGGTGTGACCGTTGCTGAAAACTTGTGCCCCCTCTGTGGTATGCCCCTGCCCTGTTCTATAAATAGCTATAAATTCTCTCTCTCACACACACACACACACACACACACACACACACATATATACATATATATACGTGGCCAACTGCCTCACCTCTAGCACTGGGAATCAGTCCCGTGCTGTGCTTGTGGAATCTTGTAGCCCAGCAAGAGGAAGCTGTCTCCTGACATCGCCCCTCCAAAGTGCACCACCTCCAGTGAGCTTCCGGGACATGCGCGGCCTGTGGACAGCCAGCCCCCGCCATCCCTCCCGCCCTTCTGGCCAAGCATGGCGGTGCTGTGCAGGCAGCTGTGTGGCCTGACAGTCTCTACCAGTCCTGCTGTCCCTTGGCTGAGAAACCCATTTCTGGATGACAGAGAATGTGTCCTCTGCTGGCTGTGTTCTCTATGGAGCTCAGGGGATGGAAAAGGCCAAGCCATTTTTAGGGTGCTGTTGGGAGCAGTGAAAAGGTCACACCCTTTTCAAGGGACACTTTTCCTGGAAAGTCCCTGGAGCTTAGCTGGCTCTTACCCTGTGAAGCCAGCTCTGGCCACTAGGGGACAGGGCCCTGAACTCAGCCTGGAGGGAACCTGCGGGGCAGCCGGCACTCTGGAGGGACAGACAGGCCACCCGGTGCAGACAGGAGAGGGAGGCAGGGGGACAGAACGGAAGACACCTGGGGTGGATGGAAGTCAGTGCCCTTGGGCACTGGTATCTGTCTTCCCTGCCACAGCTAGATCAGGCTTCTCAACCAGTTGGCTGTCAGGGCCAGAGTGTACTCCGTAGGCGCCATGGCAGTCCCCATGAAATCCACCAGGTGTCACCAGGCAGCATACAGGTAACAGGCCTGGAAGGTCCCCAACAGCCCAGCTGGACATGCTGAGACACTCTGGGGCTCCTCATTCAGTGGGACAAACTGCAGGACCCAGTGAGGGAAATGGGAACATACCAGGCCGAGCAGTATGGCTAAATCCATTTATTCCAAAATCAAAAGCAAAAAACAAAAAACAAAAAACAGGAGTCCCATCACCAGGCAGCCATGACCCCATCCCCGCCTGCTTCCTCGCTCCTATGCTAGCAATAAATAAGTTTCCCAGCCGCGAATAATTATAAGAACCTCTTCCTCATATGCCAGCTGCAACCTCCGCTAGGTACGATACAGAATGTTACACAGCTACAGTATGTACACGGGGGAAGGGGGGCCACCCCCAGCAGCCTGTGCCCTGGCCTGGTCTACAGTTAACTCCACTGTCCCGCCTCAGCTGCCTCTCTGAGTAAGAAGATGGGAGCCCCCCTGAGGGAAAAGTTGCTTTGGTGAGAGTAAGAAGGCCGTCAGACCTCCTCCAAACAAACCAACTCCACCAACCTCTGGCTCTTAAATAACAAACATCATCATCCAGAAATGTAAGGACTCAGCCTTGGTCAAGGTGGTAAAGGGTCTGTTTGTCTCCCTCCATTAGACAAGGGTCTTGTCTTGCTACCCTAATGGTAAAGGGCTGACTGGGGAGGGGTTGTAGGGACATGGTGGGGGTGAAGACTCCAGACCCACTTCTCCAGGCTTATGCTGACAGGGGCCTGCTTTTATTTATTTTTATTTTTATCCCATGACTTTTTTTAAATCCTGTAACTAATTTTTCATAACTTTTTAAAATAACTTTTCATAAAACTTTTTTTTTACTTTTTTTCCACAACTTTTTTTTGCCACTTTTCCACAGTATTTTTTTATCCTGTAACTTTTTCATCCCACAACTTTAATTCCTGTTAACTTTTTTAGTTTGTGTTCTTTTAATAAACACACTTACATAGTTACAATTTTGTAAGAATAAAAACCGATTACCTCATGCCAAGCATGCCGAGAATTTGCAGAGTCTCAATACCCAATACTATAGTTTTCAAGACACACAAAATTTTTAGGCAAAACAGCACCTTGAAACAATTTAATAATGTATTACATTACAGTAGCATCACAGCAGCAGTCAATAATGCCACTTTAGACAAAAATCAGTATTTCCATTATGCATTCTGTGTATAAGAATTCATAAATCGGTAAAAGTCATTCTAAGAAAACTTGGCAAATACAGCTTTGGACTGGAATTGGCATTTCTTTGTCTACTTTTCCTTCCCCTAGATTCTTTGTTTTAAACTACAGTATTCATATTTTAAAATGTTTTAAATTATTTTAAGACGTTAATATAGCAGTTACATTTTTGAATAGTTATTTGAAAGTGACTGTAAGATAAAGTTTTAGAGAATCTATTATGGATAGGGTTGATTTACATTTTCACATTTTCTAAAAATCAGCTTTGGTTTTAGAACTGATTGTTTTTCATTTTGGGAAAACCTACCAGGTTTAATCAATTACTTTAAAAATAATTATCATATTTTGCAGTCTTTAAATAGGTGTTTTGATTCTTTACTCCCTACAGAAATTCAAATTTATTCAGTTGAAGTCACATTTTAAAATTCTATGTTCCTGCTGAACTCTAACCTTCTAATGTTGCCTTCTAAGCAAATTAAAGGCTGCCTTATACTGAATGAGGTAGAGAACAAATACTTGGCTGAATGAGGTACTGCAAAAGACTGCATGCACTTTGAAGAAAGACTTGAGTTATTGTCATAGGATTTCCATTCTCTTTAGCTTTTTCTTAAACATATGACAAAATACCTACACAGAGTCGTATTTGAATTAATATAGTATATTTATTTTTCAGACTGACATTCATCTTAAATATGCCAGTATGTGATTTAATCCACAGGTACCTGATGAACACATTATTGTCAGATTGGTTACAGTTGCTAAACGCTATCTGAAGGTCATTCCTATTCATTTATACGTGTCAGGGTAAAAGTGAAGCGATTTGAACTATAAAAATACCTTTGAAATAATTTATCAATGTATTAGATAAGCTCAGTTTCAGAATGATAAACAAAAACTGTTAGACCAAATAACGTGGCTAATTAACAGTGGTACGATTTCTAGCCCGAGGGTTTAAAATGGAGTTAAAGTAAGTGTCTTTAAACTGAACTCAAAGAATGCAAAAGCGGCAAGTTCAGAAAAGGCAAGAACAGGACCTTTAGTCCATTTTAAGCCATAAATATTACACAAAATATGCCTCTAACTGAAACTGAGAGGTATAAAAACATATTTCACTCTTCGTAAAGAACTTTGTGAGGAAATATAACTCTGTGATTGTATAGACACTTTCCTCATGACACTTTGACAGTCACAAACAGTAGATTGCGCTGCAGTTTGTAAACATTTTACGTTGCATAAACTGCTCCTTGATTTTCAAATGTAGTATAATACTGTCTACTAAAACTCCTTTTTGTTTCAACTAAGTACTCTCACATATATTAGTTTATAATAATGTTTGTTATTATTTTTAAAGTGTTCTCCATTCAAGGAAAAGAAGTAAATTCCTATGTCAGATGGTTGAAGACTAGCTATTAGCCAGAGAGGTCTAGATGGTAAAATCCATCTTCTAGCCTCAAATAAGCTCCATGAACACAGAGGAATGCCAGGTGTCACACAGCTTTCCTTCACTCGAATTCATTCTTGACTAGAGCCTGTATATGCCTGTTCCAGGGGCATTTAAACTCTTAAAGGATTTCTTCTGATCTTTACTAAATACATTAAGGAGAACGCCAACCAGTGCCCTTTTGTGTACTGGGACATGTAGTCATGTGATTAAAACAGGGAACATGAACTCTGACTTTAAAATGTATTGTAGATATAAATGCTCTCAGCTAGAAAAGGTTTTCCACATCCACAGTCATGATGGGAGCCTTTCATTCCTCAGAAATAATCCCTTTTCAGGTCATCAAAAAAGAGTACAACTGCCACAGCTCATGAGGCAGTATCTTCATGAGCCCAGAGCACATACAAATCCTAAGGGAACTACTGTAGTACAGCACTCATTCTTGGCACTGAAACAAATGAAACATATTCTATCCTGCACACACCTGCCAAAGCAGGCCACTTTCCTCTTCTGGGAGATTTAAAAACCTCCCCAAAATGTTATTACTCCCATCCCCAATACACAGAAAAAGGGGGAAAGGCTGTTTCCAGTGCTCCACCTTTAAACAACTGTAAATGTCAGTACTCACAGTGGCATATTACAAAGTAATAGACCGCGCACTTGAGGGCAAACTGCATATTGAGCTAATGAAGAGCTCACTGTGATTAGGATTCGATCAAACATAACAGCAGAACATAAGGAAATTTTATCTGAATTCCGTAATGAATATACAGGCTGTACTAACATTAAAAAAGCATGGCAGCCTATCCCAAACCAGCAAGAACAGTTGTGTGCATACAGTGGGTCTTTGTGTGTTTGAACTCCCACCACATAAGGGCAAACTCGATATGCATGCTAACGTCCTATAATTATCAAATTAAAAAAATGCTAAAAGATGCCAGAGTGAACATGAGAGAAACACCCACTCTCATTTAACTTTTTACAAATAAATTTAAATTATAAATTAGAAACACAAATAAATTTAAACTATAAATTAGAAACACAAATAAATTTAAACTATAAATTAGAAACACAAATAAATTTAAACTATAAATTAGAAACACAAATAAATTTAAACTATAAATTAGAAACACAAATAAACATAAGTGGCTCTAACATTCAAATGAAGTAAATGAATTGTGTAGGATATTAACCCCTTAAATGTTTTGTTTTTTTTTTTTCAATTCCTTGACCCGCTCTTAGATGATGGTGATGTTTAGCTCCCTGTTCTCCGCAGCCCGAAAAGAATGGCATGCAGCCTCTCCTGCTCCTCCTGCCGCCTCTCCTGTACCAACAGCTTCTCCACTCAAGCCTGGGTGCTCCTGGGGAGTCCTGCATTAGAGGAAGCAGCTGCTGGATCTGCTGTGCAGTGGGGTTGTCATGGGGGAGAACCCTCCCTGTCCTCTCCCGGTGCAGCCTCCATGCTATCAGTGAGGCTCAGCCCACTAAGATCTTCAGAGAGAGGGAGGGGGGTGGGAATCTGGGCACAGTGCGAGCCTCCCCTGCTCCTGCCTGCCCACCCCGCCTGAGGGCTCTACTCACCACCCTGCTTGTCCGCACATCCAAGCTCCTTGTGGGACTGGGGCTCCAGCTACTGGTCTGGCTGCTGCTGCAGACTCGGAGCCTCTTGGCTCTTCAGCTCCACCTGCCGGAAGACCCTGGGCATGAGGACATGTGGTGGCTGGCTTCCAGATTCCTGGCCCATTAATAGGGTAGCGAGGACACTGTGGGGCTCTGTGGCCTGCCCAGGCCCCTGGCCCCTTGCTCCAGGCCTAAGAGACTGTCTCCCTTGCCTAGAACCCCATGCCTCCTTCCCTAGCATCAAATCTCACGTCCTTTTTCCCAGCATTTAAACTGTAGGCCACAGACTGGTGGAAAAGCAGGCGGAGCCAACCACCATCTGCTAAGTGTGCTACATGCCTAATGTTTCCACGTATTATCTCATTTAATCCTCAGCACCTCTGCAAGGAAAAGGCTAACTTCCTTTTGAAGTTAAAGAAACAGAGACTTAGAGATGCAAAGTAGTTGAATTATGACCAGTGGAACCGAGGCCGGAATCCAGTTTGAATCTAAGGAGTCTTTTTTGTTTGTCTGTTTTGTTTTGTTTTGAGAGAGTGTCACTCTGTGTCCCAGGCTGCAGTGCAGTGGTGCAATCTCAGCTCACTGCAACCTTCATCTCCCGGGCTCAAGTGATTCTCGTGTCTCAGCCTCCTGAGTAGCTGGGATTACAGGCATGCACCACCAGGCCCGGCTAATTATTATTATTTTTTTTAATTTTAGTAGAGATGAGCTTTCACCATGTTGGCCATGTTGGTCTCAAACTCCTGACCTCAAGTGATTGTCCTGCCTCAGCCTCCCAAAGTGCTGGGATTGCAGGCGTGAGCCACCACACCCGACATAAGGAGCCTCTTATACCACTGTCTCTTCCTCTGTGATTGGGGGGCTCCATGCCTCTAGCTGGGATGATGATGTCCAGACCTGGGAGGACCCCAGGGCTACCCACCTCTAAAAGTCAGAGGGCAGGAAGCAAGAAACAGTCATAGGACTGCCCCGGAGGGTGCTGGGGTCACCTGTCCCCAGGCTGCAGCTGCCTGTGGCCTGGCACCTCCCCTCCCCAGAGGCTGGTGCCCACCTCCCACATCTTCTTGGATGGGTCGGAGGTTACAGTCTCTTTCAGCTCACCCGACTTCTTCAGCTCCTTTACTTGCTGCTCCAACTGCAGTGTGCTCTTGTTCTCGTTGTTCTGGACAGAGAGAAGCAATCAGTGGCCACCCACTAAAACTGGAGACCCCAGAACTTAGTGTCTGCCTCCCATGGCACCGGGAAGGGTGGAGGCAGGTTAGAAAAATATCCCCTCTCTCCCACAGCCATCAGAGCAGGGCTCTGGCTCACAGATGCCTTTAGAAGTACCATTTCATGTGAAGGCTACAATGCCCCATTTTACAGGTGGGGAAACAAAGGCCTTGAGGGCTAGGGAAGAGGGCAGCCTCCCCAGGTGGGGCAACGCACCAGCTCCTCGAAGCCGCTGCGTGGCTCGGCCCGCTGCTCGTACAGGGCTTCCCACCCCAGCTCCAGCATCCTCTCCAGCTCCCGCAGCCTCTCCAGCTCCCGCAGCCTCTCCAGCTCCTGCAGAGTCTACTGCTGCCACAGCCTCTCATCCTGTTGCCGAAGCCTCTCCTGCTCCAGGAGCTCCTCCACCTCGTCCAGGAGCTCCTCCACCTCGTCCAGCAGCCTCTCCCTCTCCAGCAGCCTCTCCTGCTCCTCCTGCCGCCTCTCCTGTTCTAACAGCTTCTCCACCTCTTCCAGCAGCCTCTCCCTCTCCAGCAGCCTCTCCTGCTCCTCCTGCTGCCTCTCCTGTTCTAACAGCTTCTCCACCTCTTCCAGCAGCCTCTCCCTCTCCAGCAGCCTCTCCTGCTCCTCCTGCCGCCTCTCCTGTTCTAACAGCTTCTCCACCTCTTCCAGCAGCCTCTCCTGCCCTGGCAGCTTCTCCTGTTCACACAGCCTCTCCTCCTGTTCACGTAGCCTCTCCTCCTGTTCACACAGCCTCTCCTCCTGTTCACGTAGCCTCTCCTCCTGTTCACACAGCCTCTCCTCCTGTTCACGTAGCCTCTCCTCCTGTTCACACAGCCTCTCCTCATGTTCACGTAGCCTCTCCTCCTGTTCACACAGCCTCTCCTCCTGTTCACGTAGCCTCTCCTCCTGTTCATGTAGCCTCTCCTCCTGTTCACGTAGCCTCTCCTCCTGTTCACATAGCCTCTCCTCCTGTTCACACAGCCTCTCCTCATGTTCACGTAGCCTCTCCTCCTGTTCACACAGCCTCTCCTCCTGTTCACACAGCCTCTCCTCCTGTTCACGTAGCCTCTCCTCCTGTTCATGTAGCCTATCCTCCTGTTCACGTTGCCTCTCCTCCTGTTCACGTAGCCTCTCCTCCTGTTCACGTAGCCTCTCCTCCTGTCTCCTGTTCAGGAGACTCAACATCTGATTGTTTTCCACCTCAGCCTGGAGCTGTCTTCCCACACTCTCTAGCTCCTTCCTTAGGTGGTTGGTCTCATCTTGTAGCTGCTCTACCTTAGATGGCCCTGCTGGGGGCTCTGGGGCCAGGGGTTCAGCTGAGAAAGGAAGCAGACAATAAGGGCCTCTGGATTCTCAAAAAAAAAAAAAAATCCTCCCTTCGGTGCACAGCTCCTCCTCTCAGGCTTCCCAAACTTGGCCTCACTGCTAATGACTCCTCACACCCGGATGGTAGCCAGTCTTCCAAGTCACTTTCAGATAGAGAGCACTGTGGGTGGCTGACAATGGGCACTCCTCCCTCTTTACTGATGGGGACACTGAGGCTCATGGAGATGACAAGACTTGTCCTCCCCTGGCACAGACCTCTTTCCCTCTGCCTCAAAGCCCTTCCATCCACCCACCTCCCTGGGGCATTCTAAGTCACCCCCACAGCCCTCTAATGCCAGTCCAGCTGCCAGGTCATGCCAGCCCCATCTTACCCGTCTGGTTTTTGAGTTTGAACAAGCTCCTCCCAAGCTTCTGTACCAGATGTATCTCATGCTTCTTCTCCTCCTTAGATGTGCGAACCTGCCCAAAGCAAAGGGGGAAAAGGGCCCTGGAGGGAGGGGCTGGTGAACCTCTAGAGACAGAGTTTGAGAAGGGCCCACCCCCCTTCTGCCAGTTTGTGATTTAGAAACGTGCATTCATTCAACAAACATTTACTGAGCATGTACAGGCCAGGTACAGTTCTTCATAGCAGAGATATAAAACAGCAAAGGACAGACAGGAGCCCTTGGCCCTGAGGTTTCCATTCTAGGGGCCTTTAAATCTCTGACTTTCAGAGCTAACCGAGACCTTTGATACTCTCTACCTCCTCCAGAAACACGAGCATAAAGAGGAGAGATGGCTTGTCCAGACTCAAAAAGCAAATTAGGGACTGAGGCAGGGCAGAAATATGGACCCCTGACAACCAGTCAGGCTAGTGCTTCCCAGAGAGGTGACAACCCCAGGGCATGTGTGGCAAGGACTAGAGCAGGGGTGTCTGGAGAAGAGAGAGTCAGCAAAGAGGGCAGTGCAGAAGACCCATGCTGCATGTTCTGTGCTCTGGGGTCCCTCCAGGTGAGACCTGGGTGCCCAGCTCCCCATTTGCCCTTGGCATCAGGGGCCCCTAGCTCCTTTCTTCAGGGCCCCAAGAGGAAACTGGAGTCCAGGATTGACCAGCTGTAATCAGGGGACCCCACTGGACTCTTACCAGTGAATTGATGTTTTCAGTGAGTTGACTGATTATTGCGGAGCTTGAATCCAGGGCCACTGCTAGTTCTTGGTACTGGCTCTGAGGTGCATGCAGAGAGAAGGAGTTGGAGGAAGATTGTGGGGAGGGGTAGAGAGAATAATCATTAGGGCTGGTGGGGGTGTGTGGGCTGCCTCAGCTGGCAGAGGGGCAACAAGCCCCTGCTGTGGGAGGAGGTTGGAGGGCTGGCCTGCAGGGTCACTGCACCTCGGCCCAGGGCCTCTTACCTCCAGATCCTCCAGGGTAGTAGAGGATGCACGGCCCTCCCCGTAGATACCTGTTGCTGACTGCAAGAGATGAGAGTGCACATGGAGATGTTCTGTCCCCCCTCACTGTCTAAGCCCTCTGACTTCCTTTCTTCCCCCATCAACTGGCAAAAGCTTCTTTTCTGCCTATCTTGGACCCTTTTTCCCATAACTCCTTTGTGCCAACTTCTCTCGTGGTTCTTATCTCCCCACCATCCCACCCTGGGGCCCTTTCAGTGACTCCTAAAGGGACAGCCTGATGGCAAGTGGCTCTTCTCATTGGCCTGGCTTCCCCTTGAGACTGGGGATGAGGAAAATCAAACAGCAACGACCATTTCCTCGGTGTCCTGGGTGTTTGCAGCAGGCCATGTACTAAGGATTCACATAAAAGCAACAATAACGAATCTCATTTAAACTTCACAAATGGAAGTCAAAAAATACCACCTCTATTATACAGATGTGAAAAGAGAGGCCCAAAGACCTCAAGCAACTTGCCCTAAATCATATGCTAATCAATCCCTAATCAATTCTTAGCAGATGGAGAGGCAGGATTCAAATCCAGAATTCTTAACCAGTACCCAACAGTCCATCTACAATCTTAACAATTACCCTCTACTGCCCCTTGGGCCCCCTGTCCCCAGGACCCTGGCCCGCCGAGACTCACATCCCCAGGTGAGTGGTAACCACCAGAAGTGGCTGTGTCAGGGCTACTGCCATTGATTTTCTTTTTCCTGTTAGCTCCTGCTGGAATGCCAGGGCTCTTCCTCTGCCAATATGCTTTTAACTGTGGGAAAGAAGAGCGGTAACACTCATGAGAATGATCAGCCCCTACAGCCACATCCTCCTTTACAGTTTTGACAAAATACCCTTATATACCATCTGATGTAATGCCACCAACAACTGTACAAGGTGTTGTCACAATCACTTAGTGACTGAGAGGGATTGATATCATGGATAGAAAAAAAAAAAAAAGAAAGATCAAAAAAGGCAATACTGGAACTTAAACTCAGTCCTCTGACTCCAAGCTCTGGGGTTTTGCCATGAATCAGCAGCTTCCAGGGACCAAAACCAGGGGCAGAGGTAGAAAAGTAAACATTAAGCAGGCAGGAACTGTAGGCCGTGTGGTTTAGAGTCATACATCCTCACAGGTCTGCTAGCGTGAAGAAGCGTACCAGTACCTCTCACACTTTCATATCAATGTGTCCTCATGGCAGAAGGCAGCTTTTCTATTAAATCTGGGAATTTATCAGAAAGAGGACAACCCAAGCCTCATTTCAGAGCGAAGTCTGGTATACGCTTGGAAACCTATGTGTCTGTCATCCCTAAGTACATTAATGCATTTTCTCAAGAGAATCAAGGGAAAATGATGCTTCAGAAAGATGTCCCACATTTATCCTGTGGCACTCAAAGTACCCCAGGTTGAGACGATATGAGGAAGATTCAAGCTGTCAAGTTCAGTTTCCCAAGATCTATTCCACAGAAGATGAGCAAATCTCACTTCAGAGGCCACTGACTGAAGGGCAGTCTGGTCCCAGAACCGTGGAGAACTCAGAAAAAAATGTTAAAGTCTCTCTGGAAAGTAGAAGCCTGGGAAAAAACCAAACCAAACCCATTCTCCCATTGCCACCCAGAGATACTGTGAACATTTTGAGCTCACAGGGGAAGTGTAGGCTTTTCCCACTGTCAATGTCTATGTTAAGGGAGTAAGGCAGCCTGAAACCTCTTGCTCCTAGGTCCCATAGTCTCCACTCCCCTTCCAGCTGGAAATTTGTGCTGCAACCAGAGGAACCAGAAATGGGGTGAGAAAACTTAGGGGACTGGGTTGTAAGATCAAAGGCCGGTCTTGCAGCAGTAATGACAGTTCCTAGGGGCACTGTGACATCATTGCATTCCACTCCTCCCAGGGGAGGGGACCACATCAGCGCGATGCCCGAGTCGCTGCTCCACGATGGGGGAGGGAAACACACGGTTTCGACCCAGGTCCTCAGAGACGCCAGCCCAAGAAGCCTAGGGAGGTCGAGCTTGGGGCAGCAGGAGGGGAGGGCAGAGTCTGCAGTAGGGAGCCCCGGGAGTCACCAGCCCAAAGCCACCCAGGGATGACTGGTGAGGGCAGGGCCTGGGGCTGGGGGACCCAGGTCCTGGGAGACGCAAGCCCAAAGAGCCCAGGGAGGTTGGGCTTGGGGTGGCAGGAGGTGAGGGCTGATTATGGAGCAGGGAGCCCCAGGAGTCACCTGCCCAAAGTCACCCTGGGGTGATTGGCAAGGGCAGGGACTGGGCTGCTTGCTGAAGGGGTGGGGCTGACTGACTAGGCTTTGGTTGGGGGAGCCCAGAGGGGCTGGGGTTGGGGGGCCCCATCTGGTATGCCTCAGGAGTGGTATGGACTCTGGCACCGGTCTTGTCATCGGAGGGGATCTGTGGCTGGGTTGGGGGCCATGACCTGGTGTGTTTTACCTTTTTCTTGGCTGCGGCCAATTTCCCCTGTTGTGTTTTTTCTGACATCGCGGGGTGGGGAGGGAGGCGGGGTTGGGGCCACATCAGCGAAATACCAGTGAGCACTGCTCAATGCCTCCAGTCACCTACCAGGCAGCTGTGCAACTGAGCCACAGGTGGCGTAACCAGGGCACCAATGGAACGCAGAATAGGGGCGTGGCCTTAAGGCTCCAAGCCCATTGGTCAGTGAGAAAGATGAAAGGGAAAGGAGGCGTGGCCAGGCAGCAGCATGTCCAGAGGGACCTGTGGCATCATAAGGAAAGCTGCCCATGCAACTGCTGTCCCCGCCCACTAAGAGGGGAGGGGCCACCCACTCTGGGAGAGGGGAAGGGCTGGCTTTTGCTTTAAAAGCTTTAAAACTGTTAAAAATAAACTTTAAAAAATATATGTGTGTATACTTTATATATGTGTGTCTGTGTGTATCTATGTGTTCCTCCAGAGCTGTCTTCATTATCCAGCTTCTATGCAAAGTCTATGATTTTGGCCTATATTTTTCATCTTCAAATGGAGCACAAGAATTACAAGTATTACCTTAACTGAGATATAGATCCTATAAAAATGGAAAATCCATAGCATTCTTGATGATTAATGAAGCCGACTATAGTATCCGACATTCCAATAACAGAATATAATCACAATGATTTCTCTTTTTTGGAAAAATGTTTGTCTTATTCTCCTACATTATTGTTAAGATTTCTTTTAAAAACAAGAAACATGTCTAATATCTTTAAAAACACAAAGCTTTTGGGCCAGGTGCGGTGGCTCACCCCTGTAATGCCATCACTTTGGGAGGCCGAGGTGGGTGGATCGCCTGAGGTCAGGAGTTCGAGACCAGCCTGGCCAACATGAAGAAACCCTGTCTCTACTAAAAATACAAAAACTAACCAGGTGTGGTGGTGGGTGCTTGTAATCCCAGCTATTTGGGAGGCTGAGGCAGGAGAATCACTTGAACCCAGGAGATGGAGGTTGCAGTGAGCCAAGCTCATGCCACTGCACTCCAGCCTGGGTGACAGAGCAAGACTCCATCTCAAAAGAAATAAAATAAAATAAAATAAGATACAAAATAAGTAGGAACACAAAACTTCCAATTTAATAAGCACTTAAAGCTCTTTATTGGTTTAAAACAAATACAAGGCCCACTTTTCTAGAATCACCAGGCCTCTCTAGGCCTTGCAAATGAAACTGAATTTCTCACTTGATACCTGGCTATGACTTGCAGTCATGAAAACCAAGAATTGTGTTATGTCACTGTGTACTGCTTGTTACCTGAAATCCACACTAGGCTGGGATCAAGGGTTGAATCTTTCATGATTTTCTCCATAACCTGTGTGCTTCTTATCCCAGACTGAACTAAGCTTTTTTCTAGAGTTCTACAATTTACACTTAATAGACAAGAGTGGTTCTCAAAATGTAGTCTATGGACTAGCAGCACCAGCAGCACCTGAGACCTTTTTATAAGTGCAAATTCTCAGGCCCCACCCTGGACCTGGTGAATCAGAAACTCTGGAGTAGGGTTCAGCAATCTGTGCTGCAGTAATCCCTCCAAGTGTTCAAGAACCTCTGGCATACAGCAGGTAGAAAAATGTGTTTCCTTCTGTAGGTCCAAAGCCAGGGTTACCATATGTTCTGCCTTGTTATGAAACAATGACATGCAATTAAAAGACAAGAATCTCCTTCCTACTCGCACCCTCCATCCAATGTGTTTTATTTGTATGAGTTCCATAAGAAAAACAAGCGGCAATCAGAGATTTAGTCTAAAAAGTATGTTTACAAGTGTCCGTTCTCATCCAGCCTGATCTCCTACAAAACCATTTACATCCTCTTACATCTCAAGTTTTAAAAAAGTATCTTCACAATGTAAGACTCACGCACACTAGCAGTTCTATAATAAAACACCAAGTAGATCAGAATGTCCAACCTTACTAGAGAAGAAAAGTGGAATCATTGGCTATATTTTCAAATTGCATTCAACAGGAAATTTAAGTTTTGAATTTTTTTCACCTTTATACTTCCAAAGTAATAGAATTAAACCAGAATACGCCATTCTTTCAAAGCCTCTAGCCAGGCAAAGTTTTACTGTATTATTTCTTGCTTTCAATGGATATAAAGCAGATTCCTGGTAGGCACATTCTGTATACCTGCAAAGATGCAGAACTAAACAGTTCCATCTGTTCAATATTAAACCAAAAGTCCTGTAGACCTCGAATGGTGAGTGTAATACTTCAGCACTAGCCCAAAACCTCAAATATGAAAAGATACCAAGAACACCACTAGCAAACAAAACTAAACTCTCGGTCAGGAGCAGTAGCTGACACCTGTAATCCCAGCACTTTGGCAAGCCGAGGTGGGAGGATTACTTGAAGTCAGGAGTTCAAGACTAGCCTGGGCAGCATAAAGAATTCACATCTCCACAAAAATTTTTGAACATTAGCTGGGTGTGGTGGCACATAGCTGTAGTCCTAGCTACTTGGCAGGCTGAGGTGGGAAAATTGCTTGAGGCGAGGAGTTCAAGGCTGCAGTAGCTATGATTATGGCACTGCACTCCAGTCTGGGTGACACAGCGAGACTTAGATAATTACATTTTCTCCTGCTCCTGTTTACACTAAAATCACGAAGTTAAAAGGCTTTCAAATTTGGCAGGATAAAAATTAAGTGAAATGTGACTTTGGAGCTTGGCTAGTGAAAGAAAGAAAGAAAAAAAGGGAAGAAGGAGGGAGGGAGGGAATAAAGAAAAAGAAAGGAAAGGAAGAAAGAGAGAGAGGGAAAGAAGAAAGAAAGAGAAAGAAAAAGAAAGAGGAAAGAAAGAGAGGGAGGGAGGGAGGGAAAAGAAAAGAAAGTAAGAATGGAAAGCAAGAAAGAAAAGGAAAGCAAGGAAGGAAGAAGAAGAAAGAAAGAAACAAGGAAAAGAAAGAAAGGGAAAGGAAAGGAAAAAGAAAAGAAGAAAAAATGAAATGACAAATTACTTACTGGGAGAAAGTTTTGTCACCTCAATGACAGATAAAAGGCTTGCATCCTTAGACTATAAAGAAATCTTTAAAATTACTGAGAAAAAAAAACAAATGATTTTCAACCGAAAATGGGCAATGGAGAAACTGGCACTTCTCACAAGAATAAAAATGGCCAGTGGCATATACAAAGATTCAAAAGCACAAGAAATCAAAGAAATGTCATGAAAACAATGAGATTTTCTGTATAAAGGCAGGAAAGATGACAAATGGAAAGGGGAACCTGGAGCTCTGTCCTTGTTGGTGGGAGTATAACCTGAGTCACTTTTCCTGGAGAATGATTTGAAAATTTCTATTAAAAACCCTAAAAATTATTTTCCTCCAGAAATTCTACTTCTATGAATTCAGTCCAAAAATGTTTGCTCGAGCCCATTAAAATGTGTGTATAAGAAAATTCACCTCTGGGGTGGCAGTGATTAACTTAATATACATCCAGCTATTAAAAATGATGATGCCAGGATATATTTACTGCCACAGAAATATGCCCAAAATATAGTAAGTGACAAAAGACTACATACTACGATTCTACTTTTTAAAAGGTTTATGTGCATAAAAACGTATAAAAAGCAACAAACCACAATGTTTTGAGTGGCAAATTAAAGATTTTTCTTAATATTTGTCATCCAAATTATTACAAAAAGAATGATTTCCTTTATAATGAGGGAGAATTGTTATTTTCATTTATTTATATTTAAATCTCTTTTCTTTTTCTGATTTTGTTTTCTCCTGTATGTATCCCATGTAGGCTAGAATCCCTGCCTCTTGAGGTAAATCAGCCCATTTTTGGGAAGTGCGCTACAGAAAGCTGCCCCAGCTTCCTTTTAAGAGATCTGGAGACATTTTTTATTTCAAATTGTTTTATCGTTCTCAGATTATTTTGTTTAATATATGAAATTGAGGAAAAGACAAAGGAAAGGCTGACTCCCTACCCTCCTGGGGCTACTCTTCCAATTTTTGCTGCTATTGTTATATATTAATATTCACTGGGTACTAAAAAGATGGGCAGCCCCTTAGATCATTTGTTCTTATCTCTTTCTCATAATCCTACTTCATTCCTTCATTCACTTATTTTTAAAAAGGTCATGTGTACAAACACATGGTTCAGAAAATTTTTAAATATAACTACCTATAAAAGTATGTGGCCAAATCCCATTCACAGTCTTATTCTCCTTCTACAGCCAAACACTTTTAATTGGTTTCTTATATATCATTTAGGAATTTATGTTTGCAAATACACACGTATATTCTTATTCTACTCTTCTCTCTCAACACAAAAAGTAGCATACCATACATACTATACCATTCCTTGTTCCTCTTAAAACACACACAATATATGTGAGTTCTTCTACATGAGTACAGAGGTCTTTGTCATTCTTCTTTACAACCGCACAGTATTCATCGTTTGGATGTACCACAGTTTACTTAACCAGTTCCCTGTTGGTGGACACTGAAGTCATCCCTATCATACTATTACAAACAATAATGCCAAGCATAACCACCCACATACCAAGTTCATTTCTGAATCTGCCTTTGATGAAGCCTCTATTTGAATCACCACAAGGTCACAAGGCTGAAAAGTTAGCCAATTTTTTAGTTTTCATTATGTACAGCAGTATGTAGCAAAAGACTCCCTTGGGCAAAGCAAATGTGCTCTTTGGGGATTTACTGCATAACAATAAATGGATTAACACCAAGGAGAAATATTTCTATTTAACCATGCACATGTATGTATATAATACATGCATATGCATAGATAGTATACAATAAATCCATCAAAGCATTAAGCATTGTCTCAGTATGGTGGATCTATGGAGTGCTTTGTAGACAGCCCTCCTTGCCTATCAATTCTTTCTAGTTTCAAAACAGTGAATATGTACTATTTTTGCAATATAAAATTTCAATAAATGTTAACTCAAGCCAGATACATTCCTTCAGTCTGTCCTATATTTGTATGGTGCTCCAGAGTGCTCAAATATCATTTCATTAAAAAAATTTACTTATTTTTTTTCAAATATAGAAACAGGCAGGGCTTTGCTCTGTTGACCAGGCTGGTCTTGAACTCCTAGATCCTCCTGGATCCTCCCACTTCCACCTCCCAAAGTGCCGGTATTACAAGTGGGAGCCATCCGGCCCGGCCGGCTTCATTTGAGAAATATTTCCCCAGAACTCCATATATTATGAATAATTCCTTTCTTCTTGTTTAGATACCATCTTAGTCATATCTCTGTTACCTCACTTGTCACATGATAATCAGTTGCTCACCCATCCATCTCCCTTGATTGCTCGAGAAGAGTCTGATTTTCAGCACCTTGAACAGTGTGCAATACATACATGCTTCATACGCAGAGAAGGAAATGATATCACTACAGTGTAATTATTCCCAGAATTCAATGCCCGTATTTGTAAATTGTTCCAGATACTCTGCCAACAACCTGAGAATGTTATGTGTTTTCCCTAAAACTTCCATCCATTACTGAGTGTCTACGGTCATAGTTAACTCAGTTGCGATCTGACCTCTGGCCAAGCCCATTCATAGCTTGTATTATAGGTGATTTTTAATTTTAATTTTTGATTTTGATAGTTTCCTTTTTGTTTTTTTAATCTAGCAGTGTTTGGTAAACTTCAGCATCTCTATATCCCTGTGTCTTTGCACCTACTGGTCTCTGCTTGGAATAATAGCTCAAGGTTTTATTCACCTGGAAAAAATTTCTACTTACCCTTAAAGAATCAGCTTAAATAAGCCGGGCATGGTGGCTCATGCCTGTAATCCCAGCACTCTGGGAGGCCAAGGTGGGCGGATCACCTCAGATCAGTAGTTTGAGACTAGCCTGGCCAACATCGTGAAACCTCGTCTTTACTAAAAATACAAAAAATAGCTGGGTGTGGTGGTGGATGCCTGTAATCCCAGCTACTCGGGAGACTGAGGCAGAAGAATCACTTGAACCTGGTAAGCAGAGGTTGCAGTGAGCTGAGATCACGCCATTGCACTCCATCTTGGGCGAGAGAGCAAGACTTCATCTCAAAAACAAAAACAAAATCAGCTTAAATAATACCGTCTCTGAGAAGCCTTTATATCTTCCTATTCTTTCAGAAAGAGTTGAAAATTCCTCAACTCTTAAAACATTTGTGCCTCTATTATTATGTATCAGGCACTGAACTGAGTGCCTAGGAGACAAAGATGAAACTGTAGACCCTGCCCTCATGGAGTTCATGGTCTAGTATGGAAAACAGCCATATGAACAAATAACCATACTGTAGGTCTTCAGAGCTCAAACCCTATCCTAAATACTGCTAAATTAATATTCTGTGAGGTTTTGAAATTACTAGGGCCAGAGACAATATCGCTGTTTGGATGACTTTCCATCCAAGTTAACATTCGGCCCTCATCATCAAAGGTGGTATGTGTGTACCTCTTCCTTGCAACCCACCAGGGCCTAACACATCATATACCCACTTTTGAAATTAGGAAACAGCCTCAGAAGTCCAAGAGCTTGACCAAAGTAACTCAGCTGGTAGGTAGCAGAACCAGGTCGGTATGATTCTTCTTCAATATCCTCCAAGTTATATGGGCAAGTGGCCTCAAAATCAACAAAAGACAAGTAGAGGTTGACATGCATTAATGGAGAGAGGCTCAAAAGGAAGAGTTTATACACAAGAATAGAACAGAAATGTTCCAGAAGTATGTCTGGGGATGTGAAGTAGGAGGGGGCACACCAGGTTTCACCTTGGTCAAGTGAATCTATAATTCCAACCTGGGCCTCACCCCTGAGCTCCAGACTTAGCTATCTGTTTTTCTCACTCTAATATAAAATCCATAGGGCAGGACTTAATCTCTAGGTTGTTCATCACAAATTAAAGCAGAGTCTGGTTTATAGTAAGTACTTAATAAATAAGTAAACAAACTATCAAAGAAGCTAAAGAAACATTCTACACTCTTGGGGGAAGGGATTACCATGAAATGCCATCTGTCTTTTTCCTACTTTTCAGTATTTGGGGTGTTCTTCATTGAAAAAGATTAGCTTCTTGAATGTTCCAGATAGGAAGAGAGAGGGAGAGGGAGAGAGACAGGAACAGAGAGAAGTTTCATATTTTAACTATGGTTCAATTCTAAGCATTCTAAAATTGTATTGAGTTTTTTATACCATGAATTACAAGGGTGTTTAATTTCCAAATTCATGTAGCTTTTTGTTAATCTCTTCATTATTGCCTTCTAACCTTAATTGCTTCATATTTAAATTATAAATTATATGGTGTGGATGGTACCAATTGTTTTTAAATCTTCTGACTTGCTTTACGAATTAATATATAATTAATGTTTCTCCCACAGTCCACATATGCTTGAGAAGAATATAGAATATCTAATTATTGGGTACAAAGGCCTATATTTGTCCATTACACCATGTCCATTCACTGGTTATTCAAATCTACATATGGGCATTCTGTGTAACTTACTTATGGTAAGCAGGGTATGGTGAAATCTCCAAATATGCTGGCAGACTTGTCAATTTCTCCCTGTGGTTTTATCAGTTTTTCTCCTGCATTTTGAGGCTATTTTGACAGGTACATAAAATATGAAAATTGCTACATCCTCCTAATTAACAGTCAGCATCAAGTTTCTTACTAATGCTTTCTGTTCCAAAATCCTTTTTTGATACTGAAGCTCCATCACTTGTTTTTGGTTAATGTATACTGCCATATCTTCATTACTCTCTCTCCTTTATAAAAACTTTCAATCTTCTCATATCCTTATATTTTAAATATGATGGATTAAAACAGCTGGATATTCTTTTATTAGTTCCACCTAACTGGTAACTTTAGTCCATTTACATTTGTTGTGACTGATTTATGTGGACTTCCTTCTATTGCCTTTAGAACTTCTATTTCTCTCACTTTCTAATATAATTTTAATATCTCCTCCTGGGATTCCACTAAGACATATTTTAGACCTCATTCTGGTCTCCCTCCCCCTACAACCCCACCAACTTCTGCCCTATCATCTATCCTCATGTCTCTCTGTGTAACATACTGACTCACTTTTGGGAGATAATTGTCTAACCAACTAATTCTTTCTTCTGATGTCTAATCCATCCACTGAGTTTTTTATTTCAACAATTACATTTTTTATTTCTTTATTTCATTTTATTCTGAGACGGAGTCTCACTCTGTCACCCAGGCTGGACTGCAGTGGCATGCACGTGCAGCCCTTGCCTCCTGAGCTCAAGTGATCCTCCCTCCTCAGCCTCCTGACTAGCTGTGACTACAGACACGTGCCCCATACCCAGCTACTTTTTTTTTTTTTTTTTTTTTGGTGGTGTTGGGGTATTTTTTACAGAAACGAGTTCTCACCATGTTGCCCAGGCTTGTCTCCCCAACTCCTGGGCTCATACCATCCTCCCACCTCGGCCTCCCAAACAGTGCTGGGATTACAGGTGTGAGCCACCAGACCCAGCTATATATTTTATTTCTGTAAGTTCTAGTTCATCCATTTTCTTTTCAGGTCCTCCTCCTCATTCCTGGTGGCCTTTCTGTTGCTCAATTTAATGAGTCCATCTTTCTTTTATATTAGGTTTGACATGTAACTATTTTCTCACAATTCTAATATTTGAAGTCTGTGTTCTGTATCTGATAATTCCAAAACCTAGTCTTTGGGAAACATATTCATTGTTTCTAACAATTCTCAAATATGTTGGGTTGAGACTACTTGAATGCTATGATTTGACTGAAATCATATTTGCCTGCTTTTAATCTTTGGGAATCCTACAGGCTTAAGTTAGAGATGTTTTCCTACAAAAAGTATCTGTGTCTGCTTCTGATGAGAGCTGTGGGTACAACTAACATGAGACCACTTTACCACCATGCATAATCCTGACATCCTCTTGGATTCTCTTGGAGCATCTCAGCATTACACAAGGTTCTCAGATCTGGCTCCCCACCCTTGCTCATTTATACACAGAAGACTAGACTGCTTAGTATAGGTGGTGACTCACTTCCTGCTACCCTGGAAAAAACAAAACGGATCTCTCATCTGAATGTGATCACAGACTAGGAAATTCTGAAGGTGAATAACTAGAGGCTGTGGGCAGCAGGCAAAGATAGGTGTCTTTCCTGACCATAGAAATAGGTCAGAAGCTGCCCTAAAGGCTGTGTGCTACAGCATTTCACTATTTAGCTCAACTACCATTCCCTCCATAAGTGTGAGTGGAAGTTTCTTAGAGCACCATATTGCCTTTAAACAAAACCAAATTTTTGCTCAAAAGTCATGGTCATGGAAAACAAAACAAAACAAAACAAAAAAAACCCCTCTGGCTTTGGAAGACTTTCTCAGTAATGTCCTGGAATTAAGGTTACAGCCTGCATTTCATGTTAACTGAACAGAAAACCAGCCTCCAACATCCTTCTGCCCCGTGGCTTGCTCTCAGCTCCTCTTGGTTGGGCCTAGGGCAGTCAGACTGTCTGGTTCCAATCCTTGCTCTGCCACCTGTGACTTTGGACAAGTTACCTACCTTCAGTTGCCTCATCTGTAAAATGCAGATATTAATAATACCCTCTTTTAAAGTTATTAAGAGGATTGAAAGAGCTAATAAAAAGTAAAAAATAAAAAGACTTGGTAAGCATAGGCACAGAGGGAAACAAAAAAAGTAAAAATAAGTAAATAAAAAGACTAGTGCCTAGCACATAAAAGTTCATCAGGAATTAATTTTATAACATGAACTCAATTTTGCAAAACTTCAAAGTACATATAACTTTTACTATGGTATACATAACAATAATAAATTTACAACTGTAGACATGTTTCTCTACAGTAAATATAACAAAGACTAAACAATCAGATACTAAATCATTAAGTGATTATCAGTTAGTAACTTTAATTTTCTTACACTTCTATATTTTCTATAGATCATCTTTTTAACAAAAAGAAAACAAACCAAATGAAAATGAAATGAATTCTCTCAAAAAGAATTAAGATAGGAAGAAGGCTCACAAAGTAGCATAAAATATATCTTATGGTTTATGTAAAATTCTTAATAAAAGTACCTTCTTTGCTCCAAGCTGCACTCTGGCTTTGCCTTTGACTCAGGTGGCTTTTATTTGCATGATGACTGATTCTATCGAGTAGGCACTGCTTCAGCCCTACAGGAAGAACAAAACATCTCTAGAGCACAGCAGCGTTCCTGATTCCCACTTGAGAAGGCCTAACAAAATGGCATACAACTTAACAGTAGCAGACCAGTGTTAAAAAGTCTGGAGTCAAGGGGAAAAGGTAAAATTGGAATGTTTCCAGAATCTCACAAAAAAAAAACAACAAACCGATGTTCTAAGTGCCCAACATGAACAAATTAGAACCTTAAATAAAGGTCAGTGTTAATGCCAATACTAGCATAGGTTCAGCACCAAGCACAATGTTATTTTACTGGTTTACCTTTCTCATTCTTTTTTTTTTTTTTTTTTTGAGATGGAGTCTCACTCTGTCACCCAGGCTGGAGTGCAGTGGCACCATCTCAGCTCACTGCAAGCTCTGCCTCCCGGGTTCACGCCATTCTCCTGCCTCAGCCTCCCGAGTAGCTGGGACTACAGTCGCCTGCCATCACGCCTGGCTAATTTTTTTGTATTTTTTAGTAAAGACGGGGTTTCACCGTGTTAGCCAGGATGGTCTCAATCTCCTGACCTCGTGATCCGCCCGCCTCAGCCTCCCAAACTGCTGGGATACCTTTTTCATTCTTGAAAGTAGGAGCTACGGAAAAAAGCAAAACAAAACAAAACAAACAAAAAACCACTAAAATGTCTTTAAGAGAGCCATCTACTTACGATCTAACTTACATAATCAAAACACTCTATTCAGGGTGAAAATTGAGTATAATAAGAAAATAATCACCTGTTTTGTGAGAGGTTCCATATATAATGCTCCTCTACCCAATACATACCTTAAAAAGAAAAAAGGAAACATACAAAATTATCTTGAGGAGTATTCCTGCTTAAACAATTTCCATGTGGCATTATTAAGAAAGTATGCACACAGTAAAGATAAGAAGAGAACACGTAAGCATGAACATACTTGTTAGGCATATAGGACTATGGGTAATTTAAAAATTCTAATGGTATTACTCTCATGTAATTGCTCTGAAATTCTAGTCAATTGTTTGAAACGGCAATCAGAACAGAATACTTTAAAATTTTTATGTCAAAAACTAAGAACTTGGCCCTAAATATTCCAAAGAATAGGGGCAGAAGAACCCATTTCCTTAAATGGCATTTGAGTATTCTTTACAATGGAAACTTTCTCTCCCATCCTGTGATTGCCAAGAGTTTTTCCTCTGACAATGGCACTGACCCTACCCTATCCAAAATATGAACATCTGCATGGTTTCATGGTTCAAATTGTTTTTATCCATTCTGTTGTGAGAATCGAATGGTTCACACCATGCGGCTCCTCTCTGGGACTCCTCAAGTCCTTTCTAGGTCTGAAGACTGTTCTCTGAACCAAAGACAACTTCTGGGGATGTACCAAATCTCCCATTAGAAAATTATTTAGCTCAAGATGCTTTAACCTTTTAACTCCTTCTCAAACAAAATAATTTCATTTCTCCTCTAACGTTATTTTAAATTTCAAAATACACAGATAGCATGCCTAAAGTAAAATCAAGGGAATGATAGTTTTAGAACAAAAACTGTGGTAATTTTGAAAACACAAAAGCTAAGACCACTGATTAGATCTATGTGGACACCAAGTCCATCACAAACTGTTCTGTCCTCCGGGGCTCTGCCCACACCTTTCCCTTGCTTGAGATTCCTTCTGCTTCCTACCCTTCCAAATGCCGTATTTCCCCCAAGAAGACTCGCCAAGACCACTCTAGCCTGCACATCTTCCATTCCAGCTAACCAAAGGCATCCTTGCATTGACTAAACCAAATTATTTTGCAGAGAAGGCATCTAAAAACTTCTACTGTAGACCATTCACCTTAATAATTGTTTTCATGACATTATTCAATAATAAAATGAGGGAAAGAAGTCTTCTTTAACTCCCTTGCCCTGGAGAATCCAAGCAAGTGTCTTTCCCACTTGCTTTGCCCAAACCCTGGGAACTTTCAAAGTGAAAGTTTAATGGAAGGAAAAGAAAATCTAAAAGAAAAACTCTCCAAAAAATTAAACTCAGGTAAAGAATCATGGGATTAAAAATTTTTATTCTTTGTGTATTTGATTTCTGAAACATAGAAATCTATCTCTCACTCCTTAAATCTGCCACTGAGCTAAAAGAGTATTGTATATAATGTGCACTCACTGATTTAACAGAATTAGAACATCCAGGCACTCACTCAGATTTTGGTTCCACAACTGCTCAAAGTCTAGTCATTAGTTAATGGGTTAACACCACACTTGATCTTCAAATTTTGGAGATGCTGATGGTAGACAGGAACTTGTTTTGGGAAAAGGAAGTATATTGTAGACATTGTCACCCATTATCCAACCATCACCACCTTTCCTTTAAAGTACCCCACTCTTCCTTTAAGGTTGCAGAGTCTCAGAAAGTGGGAAGAAAGGAAGTTTTTGCATTTTCAGGTCAAAAGACAGTACATTTGTACAACCGCATAATACCTATGCAAATGTTTGTTGAAATCTAAACAGAAGACAGAAGTAGTTCTAGTACCTTCACTAGATAAGTAAGATAAGTAAACTTTTCCTTAATATACACTTTCAGCAGCGTTGACGCCTAAAAGTGGTCGACTCCACTACTGTATTAAATGACATTCATTTTGTCAATATGTGTTCCAAATTCTTACTGCTCTTTGTCTCCAAAGGGGGGTTCCTACTGAATATTGAGACAGTTCAAGAATACTAGGGAAAAAAATTCTAATAATTGAAGTAAGGGTCATCTAAGGATAATATGCCACATATACAGACACAGTAATATTTTCAACTTAAAAAAAATTCAGTTATCAAAGCTGTACAGCAAACTATCCTAAGCTTTGCCTCTTCAGGCATTTGTTTTATAATCACTTCAAAGAAAAGTCAGTCACAAAATGCCACATTTTGTTTGATTCTATTTATATGAAATATCCCGGATAGGCAAATCTACAGAGACAGAAATTAGATCAGAGGTTGCCAGGATGAACGGTGGGGGAGACGAGCACACAGAGCGACTGCTAATGGGTATGGGGTTTCTTTTTGGGGAGAAGAAAGGGTTCTGAAATTAGCTAATGGTAATGGCTGCATAACTCTGAATATACTAAAAACCACTGAACTGTACACTTCAAAGGGTGAGGCTTATCATATAAAAGCTGTATCACAATAGTTTAAAAATGTTTGGGTATGTCAAGAAATAAACAATAGGATCATAGCTCAAAGATATGGGATATAAAATATATGGAACAAAACTGCTCAATAATCTATCTAGAATCACACAACACTTAAGCTTTACCCTGACTAAAATTGCAAGCCTGGTGTTTTATTGGTATTTCACATTTTTTACTTCTTCCTAAGTCAGCCAATAATTCCTCCTCCTTACTTAATATTTGACTATGAAGACCAAGCCATTTTGATTCTGCCTCCAATGGGCTTTCACATTTCATTCCTCCTTCCACTCCCATGACTACCACACCTATGTAAGTTCTCCTCACTTCACTCTAAGACAACAGCATGGCCCTCAACTACTGTCACACTCTTCTAGGCTCTGTGAGCACAATGTGTCTCATATTCTCTTCTGCTGTCACCAGATTTATTCGAAAACAGTTTCTTTACTCTTACTCCCATTTCTCAACCAGTTACATAGAAAGATGAATATCCAGGGGTAATAGTTTACTTACCTGAAAAAAAAAAATCTGTCACCAATCCACAGAACTGTTTGAGTACAAAATATTACATCCGCAATATTTCCTACAACTCTTCTACATGAATCCTACCCTCCTTGCGTTATAGCTCAAATTGGTTTCGTATACTCTGAATTCCTCATTCTCTTTCCTAGATACCTGATTGTGTTTACTCTTCACCTACGTAAATAATTTTCCTGCAGCCTCCACCAGCTGACCAAACCCCACTCACATTTCACTGCCCAGCTGAGATCCCACCTACTTCATGAAGAGCAACTCTTTGCAGCTTTAAACCTCAGAGAAATTAAGTCCATGCTTAGCTTTTCTTTTTCTTTTTTGTTCAGATGCAGTTTATCTTTGTCACCCAGGCTGGAGCGCAGTGGCACAATCTCAGCTCACTGCAATCTCTACCTCCCGAGTTCAAGCGATTCTCCTGACTCAGCCTCCTGAGTAGCTGGGATTACCAGTATGCACCACCACATCTGGCAATTTTTTTGTATTTTTGGTAGAGATGGGGTTTCACCATCTTGGCCAGGCTGGTCTTGAACCCCTGACCTCAAGTGATCCACCCGCCTCAGCTTCCCAAAGTGCTGGGATTATAGGTGTGTGCCACCGTGCCTGGCCCATGGTTAGCATATGATAATCCATGCGGAACTTATAGTTCTTAGTACTTTTAATCTCCTCTTATATAGCTGGCATTTCATATAATGAAAAACACTTTACTAGGAATCAGAAGATTTATTTAGGTAAGTCACAAGCTGACTTATTATTCAAATTATTCATCCAAATAATGAGGACCATAACACACTGTGGCAAAAAAGAATCAATGAAGAAACTATGTAACAGATTTTAAAACTGAAAATGGCATGATTCATAACCTCATGTATTTGTCTCGATTCTAGGTGGTATACTAAGATCATAAACTTACATTCTTGGGATTCTTACAACCAAATGTTGAAAAGCTATACTGGTCTATTTTATAATCACATTTTAAAATGTTTTCATACATTTATCCTGAATTTGCAGATTTTTATGCAAATCTTTTCTTTGATCATTTTTTTTTTTCTCAAATAAGATTCTGAACAAAAAATGACCTGTTTTCCTTTCCCTATGCTTATGGGGATATTGAGTCAACATACACAATTTTATAAACCAGCACATAAAACTAAAGCACAATACTTATGTCCTTTCTCCCCAATCAGGAAGGGCTTCATTAAAAAGACATTTTGAAATTCAACTATGACAAACAAAAGAACTATGGCTTGGTGGCTAGTTAAAGGCTGCTGTAGTGAGCAAGAGACACAAAGGTTAAACATTTACTATTTTTCAGTCTTGTGTTTATTTTGTATACGTAAGTATTTGGCTGGGTTACCTAACACTGAACTTCCAAAGCTGACCATTAGGTTGTATGCCAAGAGAAGTACTTTTTATAGCAATTTTACTGCCAAAACCAAAACAGCCTAGAAAAGATTTAAAGGTAACAAAATAGTACACAATTCTAAACAACTCTGCTTCACACCCAACCTGGGACTTCCACTCCCCGTAATAGTATATTTGTGATCAACTTTGTAACAAGCTGTCAAAGGGAGACCTCTGACATCTGCTCAGGAAGGAATCACTTCAGCATGTCCTGCTCTGTACCAGAAAACGCATGGGGATCACTCAGAACTCCAGATTTCCAACAGAGCAGCATTTCCCAGAGTAAGCCAGAAGACACCATCCTCTGAGATGTTGTCAGGAACACTAATAAACAAATTTGGGAAAAATAGAAAATGGCATTAAGGCTCCAAGAAGTCCTTTGGTAAAAGACATTTTGAAGCTGCCTTCCCCAAAACCTTGCAATCCCCACAAAACAAATATCTATTACCATACCACTATATTAGCACTCACAGAACATTTGGGGAGATATGGCAAAGATTAGGCTGCAGGCGTCAGGTAAGTAAACTCTTAAAACACAATATTGAAAAAAATAGAAATTTAAAAATTAAAACAGAAAAGCAAAAGATAAGTAAATAAATAAAAAATTTTAACAAACAACATTGGGCTGGGCAAAGTGGCTCAGACCCATAATCCTAATACTTTGTCAGGCTCAGCAGGGTGGATCGCTTTAGCCTGGGAGTTCGAGACCAACATGAGCAACATGGTGAAACCCTGTCTCTATCAAAAATACAAAAATTAGCTTGGTATGCTGGCATACGACTGCAGTCCCAGCTTCTCAGGAGGCTGAGGTGGCAGGATGGCTTGAGCCTGGGAGGCAGAGGTTGCAGTGAGCTGTGATTGCACCACTCACTCCAGCTTGGGGCAACAGAGAAAGACCCTGTCTCAATAAAATTAAGTAATTAAATAATAAAACCAATATTCCTTTACTGTGTGGGGAAACTCAAAATGAGCTCAGCACATCCACATGTAATACTAAGGTTTTTTTTTTTTAAACCCACACTTCTTGTTTCTCTGAACTTTTACACACGGATATCATGTCCAGACAACTATTCCGTAGTATCAGCACCACAGTTAATATGTATTCTGATTATGCAAAATGATTCTTAACAGGATCTTAGCCCCCAAAACACATGCATAAGTATGTAAAGCAAATACAACTAAAAATAACTGTAGCAACAAAGCTCTTCTGGAGAAAAGTTCTGAAGTCTGAAGTAGTCACTCATATTTTTACCCTAAATGCAACTATTACTATCTCAACCATAGAAATGATCAAAGTAAGGGCTGGAGATATTTAGATTTTAATCACCATAAGGTGGATTATGTCACGTAATGGAATTAGTCAGCTGAGTATTTGAAAATCCTCAAGTTACTTTAAATTGCTCATACTTTAAGGGTCTACAGAACATTTCATAACTAACCTAGCAAACTGTGACTTTTCCCCACTTCTGTAAGACTTCCAATCACAAAAAAGAAGCAATACAAATTTCAGTAAAACTGCATGACAATTACCATTTGATTCTACTACACTGCAACTATCACCTCTAGAAGTAATCAGCCAGCTCCATAGGTCCATGAGATTTCCCATGATTATTCCTAGAAGTACTAATTAGGATCATAGGTATGTGGGGGACCACTCTGTAATCATAACGTTCTCTAAACCTTCAATCACAATTTACATTTGAAAAATCTTTGGTTTTTATGATAAAAAAAGTATGTATGAATATATATATATATGTGTGTGTGTATGTGTAAATATGTGCGTGTGTGTGTATATATATGTGTATATATGCATATATATAACACTAAAATCTCTACCTATCAACAACATAATGCTTTATAACCAGTGGTTCCAGATGTAGGCCCCAGAACAACAGTATCAGTTTCACCTGGGAACTTCTTAAAAACGTAAATGCTCAGGCAACACCACAGACCTACTGAATCTGAAACCCTGGGACTAGCTCTCCAAATGATTCTGGTGCACACTATATTAAAAAAAAAAATGTAGCCCAGGCACAGCAGCTCATGCCTGTCATCCCAGCACCTTGGGAGAGCAAGGTGGGAGGATCACTTGAGCCCAGGAGTTCAAGAACAGCCAGAACAACATAGTGAGACCTCATCTCTACAAAAAAATTTTTTAAACTAAAAAAAAAAAAAAAAGCATTTCAAGTAATCACTTAATCACTTAAACTTATGCTCCTGAGAGAACAGGTAACACCACTCAAACAAATGGAGGATCAAATGGAAAGTTATCCTAAAAAGCAAATAAGCAAGTTTAATTAATTTTAAGAACATCGTTAATACTATATACTATTTAGAAGATTTTAAAAGAATCTATAAAAGAATATGTACATTTATTATCAGATAATGGGTGAGAGTCATAAAGGTAAAATTAGTACAGAAAAAATGAAATGAAAACCAAAGCAAATAAAAATGAAGTTAAAATCAGGCCCAAACAGAACAGTGTTATGGTAAACTTATGTAACATATGAAGGGGTTTCACTTCAATAGAACTATATAAAGGAACCATTGCAATAATGATAGAGTAGGTAACTTAGATCAATCCTCTCACTGAGAACTAGAAAGGTGGACAAAATGTAATGATTACAGGGCTGAGAAAAGGGAATACCAGAGAACAGGGTCTTCTTTTTTACACCTTGGGTTTTCTTCCAATGACAGCAGAGAAGAAGAGGTTAACAAGCTGAGCTAGAACTCACAGCCTCACAGAGCTCACAGGGAGATAAACATTGGAGCTCAGCATCCACCGAGGAGAGGCCCTGCTAAGTCTCCCACTCCTTAGGTTGGGAATCTGAAGAGCAAACTGCAAAATGCCCCAACAGGGAATGATGGCCAGCTTTAATCATCTCAATCCCTGATTGTTAATTTCCAAGCCCCTGGCAGGGGAAATGTAAATCCTCTCTGGAGAAGAATATCATCCAAGGCTTCAAATTAGCTCTACAATTTTTCCATATATAATGTCTATCACTAAAAATAGAAAGCCACATGAGACTTAAAGATGACATAACAGAAAACAAGAGAAGCAAACAACAGACACAAAACCACAAGGGATCGAGATAACAGAGTTAGCAGACACACTTCAAAATAACTGCCGAACATGAGCAAGGAAAGATGGGACAAGACTGAAAACCTGGCAGAGAAACGCAAATTATAAAATGAACCATATGAAATTCTGCAATTTAGAACTACCAAAACTGAAATTAATAACATAATGGATAAGCTTAACCACATCAGTAACCTAGCAGAAGACAGATTCAGTAAACTGCAAAAAGGTCAGAAAGACAAAAAGGTGGAAAATTGAGAAAATAAAAGACAACATATTGAAAAGTTTATCACATACGTAGAGCACTGGAAGAAAAACAAGAATGGGACAGAAGCAAGAGCTGAAGATATGGTTGTGGAGAATTTCCCAAAACTGATCAAAGACTTCACAAGATTTAACCACCATAAACACTTCAAGAGAAACAATGGAAGCTGGCATAAGAGAATGATATCTGCCAAGTGCTGAAAGAAGGAAACTGCCCATCTAGAGACTTACGCTCAATGAAGATACTCTTCAATGATGAAATAAAAAGCAAGGATTTTTTCTATCTGCAGACTCACACTAAAGGAAATACTAAAGGATATTTTCAGACAGGAGAAAGAGGATCCTCTACATCAAAACCTGGGGACTCTATTCCATAAGCTCTGTACCCTGGAACTCAGGAATCAAGATTTTACAGAAATAAAAAGAGTTCTTCAGGGAGGGGAAAATAAAGGTTGAGGGTGACTGGTAAAATTAAGTTTGAGTTACCTTAGTATATTTTAACTCAGAACCAGACTCTCAGGCTCTACAAGGATCTCATGAAGTTATCTGATTTCCCATTTGACATCTCAGCCTTCTAAGTTATTCTTAAAGATGAAGAACATTCTAGTTTTCAAAGACTACATCACCAGATGGGTCTAAATAGTTACAAGTCACTTCCTTACATTGAGTTGAAAATCACCTCTTTGTAATTTGACTTATTAGTTCTAGTTTTATGCCCTGCCTTCACCAAAAAAAATAAAAACTAATGCTTCCATATACATACTCTTTCAAATAGTTGAAGACAATCTATCATGAACCAGAACCCCCATGTTTTCCTCTCCAAATCCACAATTTCACCAGCTATCCTAGGACATGGAAAAGAATCTCTTCCCAATCCTGGCTATTATTCTCTAAATGAACCTAACCTTATCTAAGTAGACCTTTCTTAAAGTGCTACCTCAGAATTCAATTCGGTAATTCTGATGTTGCCTGTAACATCAGAAAACGACTTCCTTAAAAGTACAGCAAGTTGGATTTACCAAGTTGCTGACCAGGGCACATTCCCTCCTGCAGTCACTCCCATCTTTGTGTTATACTTTATCTCAAGTTCAATTTTGCTTATTATTCACGACTCTCAAGTTGTCACTGTGGACATCAGAGGCCATAAACATATTGTTCTGGCTCTTTCCTGTAAATCTTTCTGAGTCATACCTGCTAATCTCCAAAGTCTGTGAATCCCAATACTAATAACTTGGCAATTCAGTTTAAGGTCCTCTTCAGAAGGTCAGTTAGCTCAAGGCAATCACATTCTTCCCAGGCCTCTTAAGAAATACTCCAACCCCAGAAAAGGCCCTTCTGTCTGGTATCAGGAGCCATGGGCCACAAACACAAATCCAATAGCATTTCAGCCATTTACCTCCCAGATCATCCCCTCCCTGAAGTTCTAACTAGAGCAGGAAAAAATAATGAAAACACCACCTGCAGTCACAAATCCTCCAGTTTCCTGGCCAAGATTTCATATTCCCTTCAAGATACCTCCCAAAGAGGACATGACAAGGGAGGGGCACAGAGGGTGCTACAGGTACTGATAAGGTTCTATTTCTTTTTTATTTTTATTTTTTGAGATGGCGTTTCACTCCTCTCACCCAGGCTGGAGTGCAATGGTGCAATCTTGGCTCACTGCAACCTCTGCCTCCTAGGTTCAAGTGATTCTCCCACCTCAGCCTCCCAAGTAGCTGGGATTACAGGCACCTGCCACCACGCCTGGCTGATTTTTGTATTTTTAGTAGAGATGGGGCTTCGCCATGCTGGCTGGGCTGGTCTCAAACTCCTGTCCTCAGGTGATCCACCTGCCTCGGCCTCCCAAAGAGCTGGGATTATGGACGTGAGTGAGCCACCACGCCCAGCCAAAGGTTCTATTTCTGAAGTTTGGTGTTGCGCATATGTTCATATGATTTAATGTTTTTTTTAAAAAATGGTATCTTCCTGTTTAGTGTGTGTGTGTGTTTTTTTTGTTGTAGGCCCGTGTGCTTCATTCGTTCACCCATATGAATCCGTAAAGAAGTAGCCATTAGCAACTTCAGTCAATATACACTGGATTCATACTTCAGGAAGACAACTCAGTTGACAACCACAACAGTTTCTATGATAACAAAATTGAGAGAAAATACTAACATTAGGGTCATTTCAAGAAAGTTCAATCATAAGATATATCCCCAAGCAAAAATACACACATGAAAAAGCTAAGTAAGAAGCTTTTAGAAAACTACTACCATCCTTAAAGTACAACAAAGTATTCTTTTATGTCTGTGTGCTTCATCAAAATACTTCATATAGCCATAGATTTTAAAACATTACATCTTATCTAGATTCCATATTAGATCATTAACATTTTTTCTAGATTCCATTCTTATTCTTTTGTAACCTTTTAGTATCTTAAAAGTACTTTATTAAATATAACACATTCAGAAAAGTACACAAAGTATACCTTAAGGTAGACCTTAACAAGTTATTCTAAATTATTTGCCCATGTAACCACCAACCTGGTCCAGAAATATATTACAGCCAGTATCCAAGAAGCCCACAGATGTACCTTTCAGTTCACACCTCCCTACCTCCCACCTAGATGGACTCCTTACCCTACCCTGTGTGTAATCGCCTCTTTTTTCTTGATAGTTTTACTGCCCAAGTATGAATCCATAAAGAAGTGTTCCTCAGTTTTCTTTTATGTTCTATGGCTGTTTGGAGGGCAGCAGACCATTATAATAGGTCAGATTTTCTTTCACTCTGAGGACCAATTTTCACTCCACTGCAGGCGATATTGCCTCCGCTAAGAATGTATGCCCTAACCAACATTAGTTTTGCCTATTTTTGAACTCTATATAGAGGAAATTGTACAAAATAGGTTTTGGGGGTCTGGTCTCTTTTGCTTAACATAGTGTTCAAGATTCGCTCATCTTGTCCCACATGACTGTAAGCCATTTTATGAATACCACAATTCTCCATTTTATTGGAATGAACATTTGGGTTATTTTCTGTTTGGGGTTATTATAAACGATGCTGCTCTGAACATTCCTGTGTCTCCTGGCACATATGTACTCATTTCTTGTGGAGTATATATCCACGAGATTCCTGAACCATAGGGTATGAGTATCTTCCACTTTACCAAACTGTTTTCCAAAACACTTGTACAAATATATACCCCCATTCATAGGATATAGAGTCTCATAAAAATTTTCTTACCTTAAAACATAAGCAAAATGTCTCCTATCTCTTCTTTTTCTTTTAAGATCTGAAGATCACTGTGCAAAGAACTATCAGGGTCAACCTTGAGAATTCCAAAACAAAAAACAATTCAAACAAAAAGATTATTATTATTATTTGTATTAATTTTACTAACTCAAAAATGAACCAATCTGAAAGCTAAAATACAGCACCTAGGGTAATTTCCAGAAAGAGGAGACCTTAAGCTGCTTTATATCCCCAGGAAAACTAGAGGCCACTATAGCTTCCAGCTCCTTTAGAATAAATGTCCCAAAGAGATTATAATAGCCTAAATCTAATCGAATAAGGGGGTTCAGAGTTTGCAGTCATTCTAAAGGAAAACAGTCACATGTATATAATTTTCTCAAGAATTCAAAAAAAGTTTAATATGCTTTCCTAAACTTGTATTACTAGCCAAGCTGTTCAAGGAGAAAAATTTGCCATGGACAGAGCTGTCAAAAAAGTTAAATCACCAAAAAATTGGTATTTTTCTACAACTGTCCTATATATACATATATAAATATGTATCCCACCTCCCACTCTCCCTTTTTTTTGTTTTATGACACAGGGTGTCTCACTCTGTCACCCAGGCTGGAATATAATGGTGCAATCACGGCTCATTGCAGCCTTGACTTTTCCAAGCTCAAAAGATCTTCCTGCCTCAGTCTCCTACCACCCTAGTAGCTGGGACTATAAGTGTACTCCACCTATATATTTTAAAAGTAATAACATAACTACCTCCACAATAAGAGTTGATTATGTTGCTTTCAAAACTGGGGGAAAAAATCACAAAATCAACTTGGCAATCATTCTCTGTATATTGAAATGTATTATTTGTATTAAATTATCAAGCAATATTGCTCAAGCTTTTTGCCAGAAGATAAAAATCATGCAAATATTCACTCTATCAGGAAGATGGCAAAATAAAATTCCAATGGACCTATAAAAACAATTTCTTTAATTCCAAAAAACAAGCAAACTCATCCTATCTTACTCCCTACATCTTTTGGAACTTGATTACATTTGAGTTTCACAAAATAAAGCTAGTAAACATTTCCATTTCTGTCCAGTTTTAAGAAACGACATTTATAATCTGACAACAGAAAAGAACAAAAGAATGATAAGAAGAGCAGGGATTTGGAGATCCTTACCTGTCTTATAACTCTGTGATCTGTATAAGTCCCTGAACTCTTTCTTAAGTCTATCTGAAGCTTGCACTGACCCAGACACTGCAGCCTGAAACACAAAAGCTGCTGTTTACCAGGGTCTACTGAGCCAACTAATTTAAAGATTTAAGGTATTTCAACCTGCTCTAAAAGATTACAGTAGCCAGGCACGGTGGCTCACACCTGTAATCCCAGCACTTTGGGAGGTTGAGGGGCGCGGATCATTTGAGGCCAAGAGTTTGAAACCAGCCTGGCCATCAGGATGAAACCCCATCTCCACTAAAAAAATACAAAAGTTGGCCGGGCATGGTTGCACGTGCCTGTAGTCCCAGCTACTGGAGAAGCTGAGGCAAGATAATTACTTGAACCTGGGAGGTGGAGATAGTAATGAGTTGAGATGGTGCCACTGCACTCTGGCCTGGGCCACAGAGCGAGACTCCATCTCAAAAGAAAAAAAAAGAAAAGAAAAAGATTACAACAAAAATGGATCACCATTCAACAATTTAAGAAGTAAAAGAAAAAAGTCCAATTAAATGAAGCATTATGAAGTTTCAAGGGAATATAAAACTAGACACAAGTCTGGTTCATTTCCATTTTCCTATCACCTAAAAAACTCTAGCCAACATGTTCATACCACCATGGACTCCACGATAGCACAGAATTCAGTATGAGTCTATTTCAAACCCCAGCAATATTTGAAAATACTCAAGGTGACACAATATTAAGTAAAATAGGCTTCCATTCATAAGACTACAAGCAAGAATATTACACAGATGGTCTAGTTCACACATGAAGACACTGAGAACCATGTGTGCCTACATGCAACTGGTTTCAGTTTTTCAGTGCAGGGACTTCTCTAAAGATGAAAACACATCGATATCTTATCCTAAGACTAAATAAAAATGGAACTACTTTTTGGTCATGTGAAACTAAAGCTTTTAAAGACTGCACTAGACTTTGAAGGGGAAAAAAAATCAAGTTTATAAAAATATTACCTCCTAGCTATATAATCCTGAACTAATTTCATATCTATAAAATATGAGTTTTTCCTATCTCTAAAGTATAAACAGCACCTATTTCACACAGTGGCTATGATGACTAAATGAAAAGATCTATAAAGTATTAAGTATAAAGTATTTAGCATAGTATCTGTCATACAAAATTATTCAATAATTTTTACTTGTTTTGAAGATAACTCAAAGTGGACTTGATCACAAGACACAGAAAGTACAGTAACATTAATTCAAATGCTACAATCTTAGTTTTTTAAATAATCAAGATATGGGGATTAACTAAATTTCTTTGCTGTATGAAAAATTACCAATTAAATTAATATACAAATAAGATTGAAGGGGGGAGAGTTATCTATCTGATTGCAACACTTGACATCTGCTTGCCTAACAATTCATTCCCTGTTTTGGAGAACCTGTGCCCAAGACAAAGTAACTGGTCCTCGGATATTGTGGAGTTGGTAAATAGCTCTAATACAAGGCAGGAAGCAGTAAGTGTTCAGACAATCATTTGATGTTTCCCTGCTCTGTCTAAGCATTTTATGTGTAACATGCATCATTTTAATTTATTTTTCATAGCAACCATCCAAAAGATATGTACTGTCTATCCATATTTTAGAGTTGCGCAAAGTGAAACCATAAAAGGTGTGTTTGTCACCAAACTCTGTGTTCCTTTCCCATCCTGCCGCTTCACATAAAAGAGATGTTAAGTCAAAAGAGAAACCCTACTTTTGGTTTGGTCAGAGCAGGATGGATCAAAGTCAGCTTCATGAAGGAGAAATAATTTGAGTTGTGTTTTGTAGGAGAGAATGAACTTGAATATACAGATGCCACAGAAGGAAGGTAAGCAGAGAACACAGCATAGACAAGCTGGAAAGGGGCATATACAGGGATCAGCAGGTGGTTCCAGGATGTGAAGAGCAGATCAACAGGGTAAAAAGTGGCTATTCATGGATGAGAAAGATAACCTTGGGCAACAAAGCATATGAGTGTGGCTAGGCATGGTGGCTCATGTCTGTAATCCCAGCACTTGGGCAGGCCAAGGTAGTAGGACTGCTTGAACTCAGGTGTTCAAGACCAGCATGGTCAACATAGTGAGGCCTCATCTCTACTAAAAATCAAAAAAATTAGCCTGGTGTGGTGGGACATGACTATAGTCTGAGACACTTGGGAGGCTGAGGTAGGAGGACCACTGGAGCCTGGGAGATAAAGGCTACAGTGAACTATGATTGTGCCACTGCACACTAGCCCAGGTGACAGAGCAAGACCCTATCTCAAAACCAATAAACATATGACTGAATCCACCACTAAGGCAGGAATGGAGGAGGAGAGCAGCTGAGATCAGCATGTTCATGAATTTCCTGGTATTAACTATGATTACTTCACCAAAAAGTACAGATATTTATACACACTTACACATTTAAATGGCCTTGCCTTTCAGTCTTCCTAATTTTCTCTAATATTGCCCAGTTTTCTTTTTCAGTTCCTTCATCCTCCAACTTCTTCTCACTAGTAGGCTCTTCTTTCATCTCACAGTGATCTAAGTCTTCTATATCCTGCAAAAAGAAGAAAAATATTAGCCGATTCAACCCACTTTCCTTCAGCAGTTTCTTATGCCAAAACTTAAATTATTCTTGACTCGGTGGGGGACAGGAAACAGAATATATCTATCCTATGGGGAGAGAGAAAAAGCCCCCACATTCCATTCAAGAGGCTCCCACCTTTTATATCCTGTATTTTATTTAAAAGCTAGACTCTGGGGAAAGCAGATTTAAAAGCTTTACAAAGTCACAACTATTATGAAATAAGCCATCATTTATTTATTTACTTCTTTAATTTATTTTATTTTTTTTTTGTACGATAGAGTCTCAGTCTGTCATTTAGGCAGGAGTATAGTGGGGCAATCTCTGCTCACTGCAACCTCTGCCTCCCAGGTTCAAGTGATTCTCATGCCTCAGTCTCCTGAGTAGCTGGGATTACAGACGTACACCGCCACACCCAGCTAATTTCTTTGTATGTTTAATAGAGACAGGGTTTCAACATGTTGGCCAGGCTGGTCTCAAACTTATGACGTCAAGTGATCTGCCCACCTCAGCCTCCCAAAGTGCTGGGATTACTGGCATCAGACACCACGCCCAGCCAAGCCATCTTTTAAATCTCCTCTTAAGAGGAACCTTTGAAACAGTTTAGCAGCAGGTGTCAAGAACCTTAAGTGTTCATAGTTTGTTCCAGACACTCGACCTCTAGAACTGTATTACAAGAAACTAGTCTAAGAGGTAAACACAAATTTAGGCATAAGGATACCTATTTCAACCTTGCAACCACAAAAACAAACACAAAATCTGCATGTGAAAAAATAGCAAAACAGTTAACTCAATTCCATGAACTATTAAGAAGCCACTGAAATATCAACACGGCATAATTTCTCCTGTATCGAAAAACTTTGAAATGAAAAATGGATTACACAAAGGAATAGAAAGAATTTAAATTATGCTGAAATAAGCACAGAAAAAGACCAGAACAACTTACATTGAAATGTTAATTTCAATTAATTTTAGTTGTTATCTCTGGAGACATTTGGTGCTTTCCCCTAATTTCCAAGTTTATGGTTTTATGTAGTAAGCACCTATTGATGCTAATAACTTAAAAATAAGTTAGAAAAAGAATTTGATGTCAGGTGCTCAGGAGGCTGAAATAGAAGCATTGTTTGGGCCCGGGAGTTCGAGGCTGCAGTAAGCTATGATCATGCCACTGCACTCCACCCTGGGTGACAGCGACCCTATCTCAAAAACTAATAATAATTTCAAAAGAATTTGAATAATACCCCACAGAATAACATCTTTATTCACATCATTCTGCTCCCTCCCTTCCCATACTATCTGTTCTTACATATATACAAACATATGCAGAATTGTTTAAATCCTAACTTTTTTCAATTACCTTATATTTCTACTTCAATTGCCAAAATCTCTAAAGGGGTAGTTTATATTTATCTCGATTTTTTTTCCCAAGCCAGCTAATTCACCGACTTCTAGACCAGACTACCGACTACCTTCACTCAAACTCTGCCCATGAGTCTGTACTTCATGGAGCTCCCTTCTCCCTGTGTGCACCTTTCAGCCCTGATCTTCTATCCACATTTGTTTTCCCCACAATGCTCACAAATGCCTTTGGCCTGTATTTCCACCTGTACCTTCAACCTCAGTCATGTTCCCATCCACAAAACTTCTCCACCTAAGTATTAATCAGCACATCCCAAACAGAATTCAACATATCTTTCTAAAACAATATTCTCAGCACACGATTCCCTGCTTAAGGCCTTCTTATCAACAAACACACCAAATAGAAACATGCCTGTCTCAAATTCAAGACTTCTGTCCATCTGTCTTTTCTGGACAATCTTGCTTTCCATGACTTCAACACATCAACCTTCCTTCTCAAAAGAAAAGCATCCAGTGCACCCAAACACACCATGTCCAAAGTTGCTCTGGGCCTGTTCCCACATTATTTTAGGAGCCTAGAATATCTGCTTTTCACCTGTCCTAATCTGACAACTCCAAAGTCCAGTCTCCTACCTTTCTAGATTTCCCTCAAAGTTGCGGTCCCTTGTTTTTTATCTTGTGAAGGGAAAATGAAAGGGTTCATGAACTTTAGTACAATGGCTGCCTGACCTATGGAAAAGGTTTAATGTTTTCATGCAGTTTATTCCACCTAAGCTAAACTGCATAAAAACATTAAAACAGACTTTCATTCTAATTGGACAATTTTAAGAAGTATTTTACTCCCAGACTCATAAAACAAGCCTACAGCCAGGCACAGTGGCACACACCTGTAATCCCAGCACTTTGGGAGGCTGAGGTGGTGGATCACTTGAGGTCAGGAGTTCAAGACCAGCCTGGGCAACAGAGTGAGACTCAAACGCTAAAATAAAAAATAAAAATAAAATAAAATAAAATAAAATAAAATAAAAATTAGCTGGACGTGGGGCACCGGCCTGTAGTCCCAGCTACTCAGGAGGATCGCTTGAACCCAGGAGTTCAAGGTTACAGTGAGCCATGCCGGCGCTACTGCACTCCAGCCTGGGTGACAGTGAAACCCTGTCTCAAAAAACAAACAAAAGCAAGCCTACAACACTACTTTTTTAGTTCTGAAGCACTCTAAAGTACATTTTAGATTAATAATTTCCAAACCAAGAAAATGAAAGCCTAAATTAATTATAAGACCTCAAACAGAAAAAAATCTTTTAAAACAATCAATACCATGGAATTCACATACATTCTATTTGGTCAATGCAGAGACATAGATCTTTGTTCTGAAGTTCAAATTTAAATGCAAGGCTTCAGAGCCAGAAAACATCTAAAATTATACCCATGACTGACAACTGGCCTAGGCTCAATGTCTTTGGAATTTGCTCTACTAAATTTGCTACTGTTTGAATGTATTCCCTCCAAAATTCAACTGTTGCCAATGTGATGATATTAAGAGGTAGGACTTTTAAGAGGTGATTAGGCCAAGAGGGCTCCTTTCTCCTTCATGGGATTAAGGCCCTTATGAATGAGGCTTCACACATTGGACCAGCTTGCTCTCCTGCCCTTCTGCCTGCTACCATGTGAGGATAAAACAAGAAGGTCCTGAGACACCAAATGTTGATATTTTCATCTTGGATTTCCCAGACTCCAGAACTGTCAGAAAATAAATGACTGCTCTTCATAAATTACTCACTCTCTGTTATTCTGTCACAATACTATAAAACAGACTAAGACAAATTTCTTTGAATGATTTTTCAGCAAGAGACAGTTTCACTACTTCTGACAGGTAGTCTCTAAAATATTCTGAAATTCTCCTTTTATGCAAACATAAAATTTTTTAAACTCAGTAGTTTCTCTTCCAAAAAATAACCAAATACAGGTTAAGTACTGATTAGTATTAAATATAATTTTAGTGTTAAAACTTAAGAGCTTTTGTTTTCCAGAAAATAAAATCCAAGAATTCAGATAAAACAATTTGCTCAAAGGCATATCATGAGTTAGAGGTAAAGCCAGAATTTATAAATTACATTCCATTCCAAATACGATGTGCTTTCAATTATTCCATATTAATAGTTCTTTATAAAGGAGATTAGAGAATTACTCAAATGTCCAAAACAGAAGATATTTATGATATATATATATATATATTTTTTGAGACAGAGTCTTGCTCGTCACTCAGGCAGGAGTGCAGTGGCACGACCTTGGCTCACTGCAACCTCCACCTCCCGGATTCAAGCAATTCTCCTGCCTCAGCCTCCTGAGTAGCTGAGATTACATGTGCCTACCACCATGCCCGGCTAATTTTTGTACTTTTAGTAGAGACAGAGTTTCGCCATGTTGGCCAGGCTGGTCTCAAACTCCTGTCCTCAGGTGATCCACCCGCCATGGCCTCCCATAGTGCTGGGGTTACAGGCATGAGTCACCTCACCTGGCCAAAATGTTATTCTTATATAAAATACCCACTTCATCCATCTCTTCTTCTTCCTCTTCTTTTGAAGTCACTTCTTCTGTTGTCCCATTCTGAAATAGAGAAAGAATCTGCCAGAACTACACAGAACAAATATGCACCTTAGAAGACTGGTGTCATAGCTTTAGTGACAAACTCCCAACCATCTGTCACTGCAGTCCCACTACCAGAGAGCTTATTAAAGTTAAAATGTGCATTTTTAAATCCAACTTTGATTTGACAAACAACAGTTCTCAGCTTTTAAAAATGAAACAATTTTGAACAATTCAACTTAATGAATGCCTTAGGAATAAAGAAAAGCAATCAGTCAAATATAAAGCAAAACTGAAAAAAATTTTAAAACATAATCTAATTTAAAATAAGAAAACATTTTATTTGTACGGCTATGTGCATAAGATCAAAGGATTATTTTGTTTAAAATAAATACACCAAACTATCAATTCCTCAAAACAGCTACATTTTTAACTTTGAAAAGCCTGAATCATTACATAAATTCAATTTCCTTACATTTTAAGAGGTCAGATGTGTTACTTATAATAGACACTTCCCAAAACTAAGAGTATGAATTGATTACCACCTCACTATAAAGCAAATTGTCTTTTTAAAAACATGTAATTTACTATCAAATATCTCTCTACAAGACACAATTTACCAATTAACACAAATTACAATTATCAAGTTCAGAAATTAATCTAATGAATTTTTAGGAGGGGCCTTCGTACCCAGTTTGGGCAAAGGTCAAAAGGCAAGCTTCCTGGCCAGGACACAGTATATAAATACATCTTTAACCATAAAGGCCAGTTCAGGTTAGAACCCAGAATATGTAAAAGATCAAGAAACTAGGATCCAGAAATGAAGACCAACAAAGGTCTCAGCAGTATCTAAGCAGCAGCTTCCAAAATGTAATTCACCCCTTCTTCATTTCCCTAAATTCTTATATTCCAAAGCCAATTATTCTGGGTATCTAAAGAATATATACCTAGCCTCAAAGTCCCAAAGAATTTGGTTGCATCAGTGGTTGAAAGAGCATTTTTGCAGAAGAATCTGTTTTGCAAAAGCTCTCTGAGGTGATTCTCACATGCATCTGGGTCTGTCACCACTAGCCCAGTTACTAGCCTTAATTTTACACGAGATAGCTGAGCCCCTACCCCATCAAAAAGGGGAAGTAATTTAATCAAAACAAAAAGTGAGTTAGGGCTGTGAAATCCTAAGATTAATTTCATTTCAAGATGTGACCTGGTCCTCTTTCTAAAACCCCACTGAAATGACAGAACTTTATAAAAGAGAGTAAGTCGGCTGCAGCAGCAGCAAAACAACAAATACAAAAAGAATACCCTTAGTGAACCAAAACTATAAGGACATGCTAGAAGATACAAAGCAGATGAAATCAGACTGCTGGGCGCGAGAAAGCCACAAACACAATCCAAATAATGGAGGGGCCACTTCTGTTTGAAGGATCAAACATTCTTCACTGTACTGTCCCAACTATAGTTGGTAAGGATCACTCTGGTAATAGGAAGCCTGTCTTGATGGTCTCTCACTATCAGTGTCAAAACCAGAGAGAAAAGACAGAATGCTTTTTCAATGTAACTCAATGCAGCATCAAAATCTTATAACAGGCTCTGCCTCTTCCTTTAAGCTCAAAATCTGGAAAGCTCACCAACCAGCACCTCCCCACCCTCATGCCACAGGAAGAGCACAGGTCTGCCAACAAGGAGGGGGAGGCCACAGCAGAAAAGAGTGACAATTCTGAAGACACTCATAACAACTCATACTGATCAAAGGTATACCTCACCTATAAATGAACAGATAACCATGTATCATCAGAGAGTTGAAGAAAATTAGCAACCTGAAAGGAAGGTGCCAAGTCAAAGAAGCACGAATGACCTGAAGCACTGCTAATGAAGGAAATAAGCAGAATTTTAAAACCTAATTGGAATCTTTAGCAGTAATTGAGAAGATACTGTATCCACAAAATACAAAACAGATTACTATGCAAAAGACAATTCTAGGAGGTAAAAATAAGACCTCTAAACCAAAAAAGAAAACAAAACAAAACACCAGTTGCAGAAGGGCCAGGACACAATGGACATGACTCAGCAAAACATTAAGGTGGCTCACATCTGTAATCCCAGCACTTTGAGAGATCAAGGCAGGCAGATCACAAGGTCAGCAGATCGAGACCATCCTGGCTAACATGGTGAAACCCTATCTCTACTAATAATACAAAATTTAGCTGGGCATGGTGGTACATGCCTGTAGTCCCAGCTACTCAGGAGGCTGAGGCAGGAGTATCATTTGAACCTGAGAGGTGAAGGTTGCAGTGATCCAAGATAGCACCACTGCACTCCAGCCTGGGTGACAGAGTGAGACTCTGTTTCAAAAAAAAAAAAAAAAGTAAAACCCCCACACTTTACAGTTACACAGAAAATCATACTAACTATCAGAAAGAACTAAGAATCAGATAGGCATCAGACTTTTCATCTACAACAATATCAGAACATAAAAGTATAAAGACCTGGAAAGAAACTCAATTATGATCTCAGAATTCTATATCTAGCTCCCTCAAGACAGGAAGCATATCTGTGTATGTTTGCCTCTGGATTCTCCACACCGATATGGATGGAGTACTTTATACAGAGTCAAATATTTGTTGAACAAATGATAACAGACAGCAAGTGCACAGAACACACTCCATACACATCCCCACAAACCCTTTCTAGGAAAAAAAAAACCCAGGATATTATTCAGGGATATACTTGAGGGGCAGGGAGCAGGAGACATAATACAAGAAGAGCAATAAGCAAAGGCAACAGTAACACCAATAGTGAAGTCTAAATGATTGCTGAAAATCTCACTGAAAGGTCACAGGCCATATTCTCTGACCATATTGATGCACTAAAAATACCTCAAAAGCCACCTGAAAATGCTTTTTAAATTTTTTTGTTCTAGATAACTCTTGGGTAAAAGAAGAAATTGATCCTCATGCCTCAGTCATCCAACTCCTAAGTATGAGCCCCAGAGAAATGCTGGCACAAGGGTACCATGAAATACAGACAAGAATGACCATAGCAGCAATCGCTGTTCCTAATAACACTGGAAACCACCCACATGTCTGTATCTAGTCAAGGGGATAAATGGTATGGTGTATTCAAACAATGGAGTAAATACAGCAATGCAAAAGAACTATAGCTACACACAATAGGAACAAATTTCACACACAACGTTGAGCACAACAAAGATATGAAAAAATACATATACTATGATTTTCAAAAGCCCAAATAATAGGCAACACTACACTGTATTGTTGAAGGATGCATATATGAGTGATAACACTAGAGAAACATAAGGCAAGATGAGCGTACAGAGGCATGGTGATCAGGAAGCAGCCTGCAGAAGGTTTCTGTAGTGCAAGCAATGTGCCTTCTCTTCACCTTGGTGCTGGCTAGGTATTAGTTCCCAAGTACTCGCTCTAACTATATGTTACACTAAGCTTATGTTTTACATAATTTCAATACATGTCTTTTTTTTTTTTTTTTTTTTTTTGAGGTGGAATTTCACTCTTGTTGCCCAGGCTGGAGTGCAGTGGCGTGATCTCAGCTCACTGCAACCTCTGTCTCCTGGGTTCAAGCGATTCTCCTGCCTCAGCCTCCCAAGTAGCTGGGATTACAGGCATGCACCACCATGCCCAGCTAATTTTTGTACTTTTAGTAGAGACGGGCTCTCTCCATGTTGATCAGGCTGGTCTCGAACTCCCAACCTCAGGTCATCCACCTGCCTTGGCCTCCCAAAGTGCTGGGATTACAGGCATAAGCCACCATGCCAGGCAAATAAAAAGTTTTAATAGTAAGAGCAATGTGAACAGAGGATGCAATAAAATGACTTGGAAAATACAAACTATTTAGAAAATAGATTTTAAAACTTGTGCAATGAAGTCAAACAGCACCCAAAGAAAATGTATACCCTTACATGTTTGTTTAAAAAGCAGGTTAAATTACATTGATCCACTAAACTAGAAAAAGCAAAATAAACAAAAAGGGGAAATAATTAAGACATAAGGAAAATGTGAAAACAACCCACTAAATTTAAAAAATAAAACTAAAGGAGGATTCTTTCAAAAGCCTAAGATAATAAAACAGTCACGCCTCTGATAAGTGATCAAGATAAAGAAAACTTTGAAGACAAAAGGGCATATAGCCACATGTGAATATGATGCAAAAAGTGAAAACTTTACACATCTTTACAACACCTTAGAAGTATGGATGAAGTGTTCATTTCTTTAAAGAATCTACACTTACGAAAACTAACTGAAGAAACGGAAAATCTGGAGACCAATACGCAGAAGAAGGAAAAAGACAAAGACTCATCCTCCAAATTGGACATTTATTTAAACCAGGGTTTGTCAGCCTCAGCAATACTGATATCTTGGGCCAGACAATTCTTTGTGAGGGTTCTCCTGGTGTGTTGTGGGACATTTAGTAACATCCCCTCTACCCACAGAATGCCAATAAGACCTCCCGACCGTGACCAGTTGTGACCACAAAAATGTCTCCAGATATTTCCAAATGTCCCATGGGAGGCAAAATATTCCTGCAGTTGAAAATTACTGTGTAAACTAGATCTACATCCTAGGTCTTAGAAAAAAGATGTAAAGCTTCCCAAGTTAGCCCTGCATGCCCTTGATACTGAAATGAAATAAGAGCCTTAAAAGAAACAAACAAAACTATAATCTTATTTTATACAGAAGTAAAAATGCAAAAATAAAATATTAACATAGCCATTCTAACAGTGTTTATTATAGGAATGCAAGGATGATTCAACATTAGGAAAATCTCATCAGGTAATTCACAAATTATATTTCACCATAGAATTGTAGGCACAATCATGAAAAACAAGGTAGCTCTATATGCATTAAGTCCATGTGATATTCAGTGAAAAACACAAGTTGCAGATGTCTTACAGAAAAAAAACTGAACACTGAACACATATTTCCACCATCTGCTCTTTGTCCTGAGGCTCCACTAGAAATACAGTGAAGAATAAACATTATATAAACACACAATTACAAAAAAAAGAAATGGGGTTACCCACAGAAGAGAATTCACCTCCATTAGAAAATGACAGTAAATGGAAAATGGTTAATTAATGGAGCAAGCAAACAAAAGTGGAGGTCAGGGGGATACCAATAAGAAGGAAGCTAATTTGTCCCACAGCAACCTGGAAAGGTTCTAGACTCAGACACCAGGTACCCCCGAGAGTCGACTGATAGGCAAGACTGAAAACAGACATCAATCAAAAGCCTATATAGAGAACATTTTCCAGGCCCTGAAACACACTGCTCTCCTCCATCTCCTTAAGCAGAATCCAAGCAAACATATCTACCTCAGACAAGAGAATGTAGATTTCACCTCCAGAGAAATGGAGTAGTTCCAGCCATCATTTATGATTGCACCGGGAGATAAGATAGAGGGGTAGAGGATGACAATTAGGAATCAGCATATGTTCCCCCCTAAAAGCTATCAGTTGCCAAGTCTTGGCCATGAAGAACTCCCAATCAATTTTTTATTTTTAATTTTTATTTAATTTAATTTATTTATTTATTTATTTATTTATTTATTTATTTATTTGAGAAAGGATCTTGCTCTTTCACCCAGGCTGGAATGCAGGAATGCAGCAGCATGATCACAACTCACTTTAGCCTCAACATCCTGGGCTCAAGCGATCCTCCTGCCTCAGCCTCCCAAGTAGTTGGGACTACAGGTCACCACACCTGGCTATTTTTTTTAATTTATTTTTTTAAAGATGGGGTCTCACAATATTGCCCAAACTAGTCTTGAGCTCCTGGGCTCAAGTGATCCTCTCATGTCAGTCTCCCAAAGCACTGAGATTGTAGGTATGAGCCACCACTCCCAGCCTCCCAGTCTTTTAGTACCTCTCTCAAATATGAATGAACAAAAAAGAGAATTAAAAAACAAAGAGTACATGCCAGGCACAGTGGCTCACGTCTTTAATCCCAGCACTTTGGGAGGCCAAGGTGGACAGATCACATGAGGTCAGGAATTCGAAACCAGCCTGACCAACATGGAGAAACCCCTTCTCTACTAAAAATACAAAAATTAGCCAGGCATGGTGGCACATGCCTGTAATCCCAGCTACTCAGGAGGCTGAGGCAGGAGAATCGCTTGACCCCAGGAGGCAAAGGTTGTGGTGAGCCAAGATCACACCATTGCACTCTATCCTGGGCAACAAGTGTGAAACTCCGTCTCAAAAAAGACTACAAATGATAAGCAACATAGAATAGATACTTAAGGAAAGGTTTTAAGAAGAAAAATAAGACCAAAATGAACTAAGAAAAAAATTTATTAAAGAACAAAGAGATGCTAGGGTGAAGACAAAAGAGTATCAAAATCACTTCATAAAGACACTTGTGAATATATTACAAGAATAAAACAAAAATAGAATATGAATAAGGAATAATCAGAGAAGAAAAAGTTCTTAGAACTCAGGGTTCATCTTGGGAGTTGGTCCCCAATGAGCCATACCTCCTGTTATCATGTTCTTGGACAGGCCCATCCCACAGTGAATCTGGGTTGGCCTCAAGACTCACTTTAACCTATAGAATTTGGTAGAAATGACACTGGACCTGTTCCAGGTCTAAGCCTTAAGAACACTGGCAGCTCCACTTCTGTGCTTCTAGTAGCCAAAATAAGTACCAACTATCCTCTTGGAGAAAGAGAAACCACTTGAAGAGGCCTGAAAGGATGAGATGCTATGCAGAGAGGAAGGCCACATGAAGAAACACCAAGGCAGCAGACCTGTGGGTGAAGTAGCCGTCTCAGACATTCCACTGCAGCTGAGAATCCAAATGACCAGTCCCTGACACCATCTAACCACACAGTGAGAGATGCCAAATGAGACCAGCAGAAAAACTGTCCAGCTATCCCCAGTTAACTGATACAGTAGTGACAGATAGGCAAATGTGTAGTTTTATGCCATTAAGTTTTGGGAAAATTGGTTAAGCAACAATAAATAACCAAAACAAAACTTAAAGTTAAGACTGTCCAAATAAAATTTCCTAAAAGTCAAAAAATAAGAAAAATATTCCAGAACTTAAAATTAAAAAAAATTAGAAACGACCTGAGATACAAGACTCAAACAAGAGGACTAAAATCCAATTAACAGACACTTCAAAATGAACAAATAAAATGGAAAGGAGAAAGTTAACAAAAATATGACAAGATTCAAGATTCCAACATTGAAAGAGCCTATCCATAGGCCTATCGATTCAGTGTGCCCAGCACAGTGAATGAAAAAAGACACACACTAAGTACAATGTTGTGCTATTTCAGCTCACCAAGGGAAAGACAAACTCCTAAAAGCTTCCAGAGAGAAAGTCATGCATAAATGAGTGAAACTCAGGGTGACATGAGGCTTCACCACCATGACTGGTTAGAAGACAACAGCACAGACTTTGAAATTCTAAGGTAAAATTATCCTCAACCTAGAAGTACATAATCAACCAAACTATCAATCAAGTGTGAGGGTAGACTATGACAAAAGTGAATAGTGATGGAGATGGGCTAAGTACCAGGCACTGTTCTAAATGGTTTACATGTACCAACTCATTTAATCCTCATAGCTCCCTAGAAACATAGGTACTAATACTATTACCGGTTCCCCCATTTTGCAAATGGAAATTGATGCATAGAGCAATTATGGAATCAGCCCAAGGGCATACAGCTAAGAAGTAATAGAACCAAGATTCAAACCTATCTCAGACTGGCTCCAAAACCCAAACACTGCATTGTATTTTTTCAGAAGCCAGAGATCAGAAAATATACCACTCCATGCTTTCTTAGGGTTTTACTTGAGGACATAGTCAGGTAAAATGACAAAGGGAAAGCCAAGAAAGATGACATGGGATCCAGGAAACAATGGATGTACTCTAGGAGAGCAGATGAGAAAAACCTCAAGATGACATGTGCACAGCCAACCCGAAGAACAACCTGCCAAAATGGGCACACAGGAGCCAAAGGCTTTGGAAGAGAAGGAGATCTCACAGAAAGGGCTACAACAGAATTTTTTAAATTAAAAATTACTGTTATGAGAAGACATTGCAAAACAAAAAGCAGCACCAAGAAAAGAAATATTCTATCCTAAATATTCTAGAAAATTTGGCTTCTCGAAGTCCTAATGATAATTAGTGATTACTTATATCACTAAAGATAATATCTGAGGAAGGCAAAGTGGGTGGTATAAGAGCTAAATTCTCATGTATTATACTAAAAAGTCAATAGCTGATGCCTAAATAGGTAAATCCAGGAAGAAGTTAGGGGTAGTGGTGAGCTAGTGGAGATTTCTGTTGCTTGTAGGAGATAATATTTGGGTGAGTCCTTAAGAAGCATAGACAGATTTAAGGAGATGGCATTTCTAGGTGAAGGCAAGTCAATAAGCAAAGACAAACAATGAAAGAAGCAAGAACATTTATGGACCCCAGGAATATTCACAACAAAAAGCTGGTGTTAGGGAAAAGGGCAATTGTTTGCCTGCCATACTAAATACCAGCAGTTCCAAAGAATGAAAATGTTATTTTTAGTATCTAAAACAGAACAAACAATTCAATAGGAACAGAAAAACTAACTTCTAAATAAGTTGAATAATTTTTAAAAAATCATCCTAGTTTGACTTTTGTTTGAGACAATTTATTTTAGCTCTTGAACACTACAGAATTTTTACTTTACCTGACCCATGGGTAGTGGTTGATCTGGCATCTCAACATTCGGGTGCTTAGGAAGGTTATATAATCTGCAGAGTCCACATATCAGCCACTTCCATTGCTGATGAAGCTACAAAACACATTTCAGTAAATAAGCATTATGTTAAAGAGCACTGAGAAGACATCAATAATGGTATGACTACTGCAATCAATCCAGTAGGAAATAAAAAAGTTTGTTACTGCTCAACTGCAGCTTACAGATATTTTAAAAAACTCTTTGAAATATTTTCAGGAGCCTCTAGTTTAAGAAAGTTACTATGGCTTGGTGTATAATCACTACAACTGATACCTAATGGAATGACAACAATAAAGGCAGAGGAAGGAAGTTCCAGACATTGTCCAATTTCTCATTGCTACCTTGTTTTCTTAGAAACTTACAACTTCAAACAAGAGAACATTACTGCATTAATGAGGTGACCCAAAAAGGAAAAAGAAAAAAAACCACACACAGGCAGTATTGTTACACATGGATTATAAAATTATATATTCCAGTCATAGTTAAAAGTACAAAAGCAAATGTGATCCAGCAGACAGAGCCTGGAAATCTAGATGACCTTGGATATCATATCTAATTCCTTGAGTTTCAGTGTACTCATCTGTAAAACAAGGAAATGAAAACTTCCCCGGAATAGTAAAGATTAAATGAAACCTGTAAAACACTTGATACTTAGTAGGCTCTTAAGTGTCTGTCTAAAAAATAATCATTCACTAGGAAACTGCAAAAAATAACTGTAAGTTTCCATGTTTAAGTCCAAATTGTATTGTAAGATTGTTTACTTTAAGGAAATAAGCAAGGTAAACTATGTGCACAAGTGTGGTTTTCATTGTTTAAAATGTTTTTTAATGTATAAGGTGACTCATATGGGATCTAATAAGCACTCACTTCACTTGGTCAGGAACAATTTTCTGGGTGTCTCTGACCAAGAAAAGAGATGAAGAGAAAGAAGCAGGTTTACAAATGACAAAGTAAGAAGACACAGGATTAGAATGGGTTAACAAAGCAAAGAATAAGCCTTCCCAAAGTGAACAATGAAGCAAGTGGAAACAGGAAGGTTGAACCGTAAATTAGGATACACCAAAAATCCTCATGCTTAAAAGGAAGCCAAGCCCCAGTGTGGATTCATTATGCACGCAATGTGCTCTGTTTTGTGCTAAGTATATAATGAAGATGAGGCAGGGTGATCTGGACACAGACCTGCACACTCTGACCTCTGGCACAGAAGGGGCTACAGGAGTGCTGGGGTGAAACAGGAATTAAAAGAAATTAAAGAATGTGAAACTACCATCAGAGTGAACAGGCAACCTACAGAATGGGAGAAAATTTTTGCAATCTTCCCCTCTGACAAAGGACTAATATCCAGAATCTACAAAGAACTTAAACAAATTTACAAGAAAAAAATCAAACAACCCCATCAACAGAGACTTCTCAAAAGAAAACATTTATGCAGCCAACAGACACATGAAAAAACACCCATCATCATTGGCCATCAGAGCAATGCAAATCAAAACCACAATGAGATACCATCTCACACCAGTTAGAATGGCAACCATTAAAAAGTCAGGAAACAACAGGCGCTGGAGAGGATGTGGAGAAATAGGAACACTTTTACACTGTTGGTGGAACTGTAAACTAGTTCAACCATTGTGGAAGACAGTGTGGCAATTCCTCAAGGATCTAGAACTAGAAATACCATTTGACCCAGCCATCCCATTACTGGGTATATACCCAAAGGATTATAAATCATGCTGCTATAAAGACACATGCACACATATGTTTAGTGCGGCACTATTCACAATAGCAAAGACTTGGAACCAACCCAAATGTCCATCAATGATAGACTGGATTAAGAAAATGTGGCACATACACACCATGGAATACTATGCAGCCATAAAAAAGGATGAGTTCATGTCCTTTGTAGGGACATGGATGAAGCTGGAAACCATCATTCTCAGCAAACTATCGCAAGGACAGAAAACCAAACACCACATGTTCTCACTCATAGGTGGGAATTGAACAATGAAAACACTTGGACACAGGATGGGGAACATCACGCACTGGGGCCTGTTGTGGGGTGGGGGGAGGGGAGAGGTATACCTAATGTAAATGATGAGTTAATGGGTACAGCATACCAACATGGCACATGTATACATATGTAAAAAACCTCCACATTATGCACATGTATCCCAGAACTTAAAGTATAAAAATAATAATAAAAAAGAATGTGTAAGCAAACACTGTTTGTTAAAAAAAAAAAAACCGAATTCCCCCTAAGAAAGAAAAAGAGGTGGAGTCCTTTAAAAATTAACTGCCTGTTTTTCTGAGGCTAGTGAACCTCATCTCTCCTCCTCTCCCAGGCATTGTGAAGACCCTGTTTCTCTAGCTGTGCAGCTGCAAGGTCACTAGACAGATAAACTCAAGTTGTAAAACATGTTTTTCCTTGAAAAGTAAGAAATAATGTAATGCATGTCTCAACTGAATAACTGTCTTTGTTTCTTGCTTCTGTAATATGCTTCCCCTTGCACAGATCTCCCCCGAACCCACAAAATGCTTAAAAGGTAACCTGACTCTTTGTTCAGGGCTCAGTCCTTTAGATGTTAATTTGACTGGGCCGGTGCACCTAAATAATAATATATATCCTCCTCAACCCCTCAGTCTCTCGGATTCCTAAATTATCCCACTGCAGTGGGAGAGAGGCAGCAGGTTAGTGAGTCATACCAAGCAACAAGAAAGACAGGGTAGTGGCCAGGCACAGTGGCTCACACCTGTAATCCCAGCAATTTGGGAGGCCGAGGTGGGTGGATGACCTGAGGTCAGGAGTTTGAGACCAGCCTGGCCAACATGATGAAACCTCATCTCTACTAAAAATACAAAAATTAGCTGGGCATGGTGGCAGATGCCTGTAATCCCAGCTACTCAGGAGGTTGAGGCACGAGAATCACTTGAACCCAGGAGGTGGAGGTTGCAGTGAGCCAAGATTGTGCCATTGTACTCCAGCCTGGGTGACCAGAGCGAGGCGAGACTTCATTGCAAGAAAAGAAAGAAAGAAGAGAGAGAGAGAGAGAGAGAGAAAGAGAGAAAGAAAGAAAGAAAGACAGGGTAGTACATTTTCCATGAATTTCAATTTTACTCTCTTCGCCACCACGCACACACACAAAAAGCATTTGAGGGATGGGAAGAAGAAACTGAGATCACAGGGAAAATAGTAAGAACATTCAGAAGGACAGGTCTTAGAAATTTACTAGTTTGGGGGGATAAGAGAACAGTAGCATATAAAAGAACGCTAAGACAGTTCCCAGGTTTAGGCATGGGTGACTACTTTGATTATTTCATTTTGTCCCACTCACAATGACAAGGAGAATTATTGATGGAACACATGATGGGGCTGATAGGGTGCTAGGAGGTGGATACATGAAAATTTAAATATCATCTTGAACACCCACGTCATGCCAAGTGAGATTCCCTAACATATATGATATACAGACAGAAATATGGGTATGAAACTCTGGAGATGAATACAGATTTAGGAATCCCTGGAACACAGGTCATGACTTAAGTAATGGGAGTCAAAGACTACTCAGAGAAAGCACAGAATGAGAAGAGAAGAAAGAAGTAGGCCAAGGAAGAAGAGCTCGGAGGAGACCAAGGCAGGGTGATAAGATCAAAACAGGAGAAAATAATCTGATAAAAGTCCCAGTTGATTATCACGTCCCTTCCCAGAGGATAGGGAAATACCTTTTTTGTCTTTTATACCCAATTATCACAGGTCCTGGCACAGAAGCCACACAGTCTTTTTTAATTGTGTTCTACTATTCACAGTTCCCTGTATCCAACAGGGGAGAAAAAAGCAAGTATAAACTAGCACAGACATAGATGTTTTTACACTGTATACTAAAGGGGTCAGATTATATATAATATTTTATGCCTTACTTTTTTACTTAATATATCTTAGAAGTTTGCACATGCTCTTATGGAAAGACTGGCTGCATTTTTTTTGGTCTACAACAGAATATTCTATTATAAAACTGTACACTATAATTTTTATTTAACCAACTCTTTATTGGTGGACATTAAGAACGGAGGAATGTTTCAACAAGGGAACAATCAACATTAACAAAATACTGCAGAGGGGTCAATTTGGGGACTAAGAGGGGAGCCACTGGATTTGGCAACTAGGAGATAAATTTTAGCGCAACGATGAAGGCAGAATCCAGAGTATAATGAGCTCAGTGAAAAAAGGTGAAGACATGTAGCTTATTCTCTCAAGAAACTAGGTTATGATAAACTGGCAGAGGCTCTAAGAGTGGGAGGTGAGTTGTTTTCTCCTTCATGTAAATACATTTACTTTTTTAAACACTAGGCCCAAATTTATATCCTACTTCATTTAAGTTTTGAACATGTTTATGTTGTATGTATGTTATGTAATATTTTAGACACTGAAAAAAACCTCATTTCTGCTATTATAAAACTGTTATCTTTAGATATTCAGAAGCAGCTTCCTAAAAGGAGGTAGCAGTAATGGAGCTATGTCTATCATTCTTTCTATCAACCCCCTTGCTGGAGATGTAAACATGTGTCCATCAAGCCTTTAATTTTTACCTCTTATCTTCATGGCTCTCCATACAAAACTTAACTCTATTTTGTATGTGTATGTGTGTTTATATGTATATCTATGTCTAGAAAGAGAGAGAGAGAGAGTCTTGTTATGTTGCCCAGGCTGATCTCAAACTCCTGAGCTCAAGCAATCTTCTCACCTTGGCCTTGAAAGTGCTGGGATTACAGGTGTGAACCACTGTGCCCAGCCTCAGCCTTAACTCTTAAAACATCTTCAAACCAATGTTGTTCCGTTCTAATTTTTAAGAATAGATGTGTTTTAACCTACTACAACTTATTTTGACAAAAATTGAAGTTAAGACTCAAACTTCCTCAAATGGCCAGTTCTCCTAAAACTATTTATAGAATAATCTATCTTTTCACTAGTAAGTTAAAACACCACCTTTTCCTTATACTAAATTCTCATTTGCATGACTCTGGTTTTAAACTTCCATTACCTTTATCTGTCTGGCCCAGGGCTAGTCCACAATATTTTATTTAATATCTGGTTGAAAGAGTTTATACTTTATTATTTTTTATTATTTACTCTTCTAAACAAATTTTAGAGTCATTTTGTCAAGTGCCAAAAATAAATCTGCTGGAATTTCTACTGAAATTTGTATATATACACATACATACACAATTTATATATATAAAATACAAAATGTGTATATATACACACACTTTTTTTTCTTTTTTCTTTTTTTTTGAGACAGGGTCTCACTCTGTCACCTAGGCTGGAGTTCACAGGCATGATCTCGGCTCACTGCAACCTCTGCCTCCCAGGCTCAAGTGATCCTCCCTCCTCAGCCTAATGAGTAGTTGGAACTACAAGTGTGTGCCACAGACACCCAGCTAATTGTCATCTACCCGCCTCAGCTTCCCAAACTGTTTGGATTACAGGTATGAGCCACTGTGCCCAGCAGAAATTACATTTATAAATTAATATGAAGACATGGTGATAACTAACATATTTATAACATGAAATCTGCTCATCCAGGAACATAGAATGCAAATCTTTCATTCCACTCAGCAAAATTTTGTCCTGTCCTTGATAAAAGCCCTGCACATCTAAGTTTATTCCTAGGTATTTAATTTTTGCTGAAATACCTGAAAAAATACTTCATCACTATATCTTCTATGTGATTATAGCTAACATTGGGGAAGGCTATTGATTTTTATATAAAAGAACTTTTAACCAGTAATCTTAAAATTTTTTTTTCAGTTGGTTCCTTTGGATATTTTTAGGTAAACAATCATGTCAACTGAAAATAATGATTGTTATTTTTCTATAAAGACTATGACATCCTGGGAAAATACAGTAAATACTTTTTAAAAGAATATAAAATGGCTGGGCACAGTGGCTCATGCCTGTAATCCCAGCATTTTGGGAGGCCAAGGTGGGCAGATCACGAGGTCAGGAGATCGAGACCATCCTGGCTAACATGGTGAAACCCCATCTCTACTAAAAAATACAAAAAATTAGCCGGGCATGGTGGTGGGCACCTGTAGTCCCAGCTACTGGGGAGGCTGAGGCAGGAGAATGGTGGGAACCCAGGAGGTAGAGCTTGCAGTGAGCTGAGATCATGCCACTGCACTCCAGCCTGGGTGACAGAGTGAGACTCTGTCACAAAAAAAAAAGAAAAAGAATATAAAACTATAGAGAATATGACCTCAACTATTTAAACATATGTATAAGGGTTATGTATTTTACTAGCAAAGAAAAAATATATACTGGCAGAAAATGGCCATCATGTCAACTGTCAATAGTGGTTATATTAGGTAGATAAATTATGGGAGACTTTAATTTTTTTCTTTTCTCTTTTCTGTACTTTACTAATTTTCTCAACAATGGTTGCTTATGAGTTTTATAATTTAAAAAAGGTTTTTAAAATTTTTCCAACATGGAAAGTTGTACTTCTTTATATACTAAAACAAGAACAAAACTTCCTATTTGAATACCTTTGACTTTTACTGCAGACTTACAGACCCTTGAAAGAAAAGGCAATCCCCTCCCACTAGTTCTGGTGTCATTCTCCCCTTCTCTCCTTTCACTTCCACCTTGGTCTTTTTTCTACTTCCCACCTTGGCTAGTGGTCACTACCCAAAATGCTTGCTTGGCTTAATGGTTAGAATTCAGGGAAAAAGAGATCCTGAATTCCTAATCTAAACTAAGGTTATACATGTGGGAAATAATAAAGAGAATCCAGGTAGTAAGTAAGATTGGAAGGACTTAAAATACCCAGACTTTAATTCCTCTAATATTATAGTCATTAATCATGCTTTTGTTTTTATCATATCTTAATATTTAATTTCTAAATATAATGTTCATGAGGAAAAGAGAAAATAGCTTGGCTTCTTTCCTCACTGAATTGTTTTTCTTAGCATCTTCTAGACATTCCAGAACTGATGTCAGATTTGGCTCATCATAGTCCACAAACCATATTGGTAAAGAAAATGAAGAGGATTCCTGTTTAACACAGAGACACCTATGTTAAACATTACATACAGACTAACCCAAATATGCAATTAAACCACACCACTAAATGGCAAGATGACCATGGATTTAAACAAAATGTATGGGGGAAAAGGCAACACATTAAATTCATGTGAGGAGCTGGACTTCTGAAACAGCCATTCTCCTTGCATAGCACTGTCTGCTGCTACAGCTCATAGAAGTCAACAATTTTCTTCAACACTGGTAGGCAGCCTCTAAATGGCCCTGATCACCCTCACCTCCTGCCATTCACACCCTTGTAAAATTCCACCCCTGGACCTAGTGACTCACTTCTAACAAAGAGAATACAGCAAAAGTAATAACATCACTTCTGAGATGAGGCTACAAGGAGACTACGATGCCTGCTTTGGTCACCCTTCTCCTGCTCTTTCCATTGCTCCCTCTGATGGAAGCCAGTTGCCATGTGATGAGGTGCCCTATGGAGAGGCCCACATGGCAAGGTATTGTAAAAGGCCTCTGACCAATAGCCATCTAGAAACGGAGGCCCAGTCCAGCAGCCTCTGAGGTGAATCCTGCCAGTGTGAGCTTGGAGACAGATTCTCTCCCTATCCTGCCTTGGGATGATCACAGCCGCCATCAACACCTTCACTGCCTGGTGAGAGACCAAGCCAGTGAACCCAAGATAAACTGCACAGAATTCTGACCCACAGAAACTGTGAGATAATGTTTGTTGTTTTAAGCTGCTAAATTTGTTACAGAGCAATAGATAACTAATTCAAACAGCATAAAATTCTAATATTTTATTCTATCACACAAACCAAGTAATACCAAAAATGCCATTACTATACATGTATTTTCAGAACACAATTACATGTGATTTTTTTTAAAAGCTAATGAAGTAAGCATTATGTGCTTTCACCCACTAATAGACATTTACTCTGTTCTAGGATTTTCCATTATAAATTGGGGAAAAGTCATTATTATTATATATTAGCTTCAGAAGAACTAGGTTCAAGTCATGCAAAACCATTTCGCACAAACTACTTTAGGAAATATTGCTTTAAAAACTGTAATCTGAATGATAGCTGAAGCCACAGAAACCAAATATTTACCAAAGGTTCTTTTAAGAAAACCAAGTTGGCCGGGTGCGGTGGCTCACACCTGTAATCCCGGCACTTTGGGAGGCCGAGGTGGGCAGATCACGAGGTCAGGAGATCGAGACATCCCAGCCAACATGGTGAAACCCCGTCTCTACTCAAATAATAACAATTAGCCAGGTGTGGTGGCATGTGCCAGTAGTTCCAACTACTCAGGAGGCTGAGGCAGGGTAAGAGCTTGAACCCAGGTTTCAGTGAGCTGAGAAGCGCCACTGCACTCCAGCCTGGTGACAGAGCAAGACTCCATCTCAAAAAAAAAAAAAAAAAAAGAAAGAAAGAAAAGAAAAACAAGTTGTATTGAAGGAGCATATCATTAACAGTATATCTATTCAATAATGATTTTACTATTCTCATTCTTCTCATTCCTCTCTTATAGTGTCCCAAATCTCTTTACAGTCTAAAAGAAACTCTTCAGAGTTAATCCTATTCTTTTTTTTTTTTTTTTTTGAAACGGAGTCTTGCTCTGTCACCCAGAGGCTGGATGCAGTAGTGCGATCTCAGCTCACTGCAAGCTCCGCCTCCCGGGTTCACGCCATTCTCCTGCATCAGCCTCTGGAGTAGATGGGACTTTAGGCACCCACCACCATGCCTGGCTAAGTTTTTGTATTTTTAGTAGAGATGAGGTTTCACCATGTTAGCCAGGGTGGTCTCGATCTCCTGATCTCGTGATCCGCCCACCTCGGCCTCCCAAAGTGCTGGGATTACAGGTGTGAGCCTCCATGCCTGTGACAATCCTATTCTTAAAGAATACCACTTACTGACTATTGCATTTTCATCTCCAAATTCTTCAGCATACATTGGGAATACAACATATGGACCATTTTCACATTTTTAGTTTTGGGGGTTTTTGTTTGTTTGTTTGTTTGTTTTGGCTAAAGAAACTGCAACTAGATTTAGGACCTCATTCTATTAGGTTAGTATCTGTCTACTAAACTTCAGCATAAGCAAAATAAAATACATGTTGTTGCTCTGGAGTGAAACCCCTCAAAACCAAATTTTAAAAATTACAAAAACATTAACTGAAATCAAGTTTTTAAAAATCTTGTAGATGAAAAGATATGATATATAGTAGGTTTAAGTACCTATTTCAATGGTTCACAAAGTCTGGCCCTCAGACCCCCAGGTCCAAACTATTTTGACAGGAATACTAACATGGTGACATTTGCTGTAAGGGTGCAGATACAATGGTGGGTAAAAATGCTGGTACTTTAGCATAAATAAAGGCAGTAACACCAAACTACTAGTAGTCATGGTATGACTACTGTGCACGGGAAAGGTTTAAAGGTGTAAAAAGGAAGGGAGGGCCGGGCATGGTGTCTCATGCCTGTAATCCCAGCACTTTGGAAGGCCAAGGTGGGCAGATCACCTGAGGTCAAGAGTTTGAGAGCAGCCTGGCCAACACGGTGAAATCCCGTCTCTACTAAAAATATAAAACTTAGCCGGACATGGTGGTTGCATGCTTGTAGTCCCAGCTACTTGGCAGGCTGAGGCAGGAGGATTGATTGAGCCCAGAAAGTTGAGGCTACAGTGAGCTGTGATCATGCTACTGCACTCCAGCCTGGGTGACAGAACAAGGCCCTGTCTCAAAAATAAAAAGAATGTCTATGATGAAGCAGTGAAAATTTTACATCTTAATCCTTGAATATATCTTTTTAATATTTCAAGTGATGAAATGGGAAGTATACATGAGCATTCCTACAGACTGCCTGAGAAAAAACCCTCATGTGACTAAGTTATGAAGTGAATTAACCACTTTAATGGAATATCATTTTTACTTCAAATGATGACTGAAAAAATTTTATTTCAGCTTGGGTTTTGGGAGACATTTTCTCAAAAAAAAGGAGATTCTGTTATTTCAAGGAAAACAACAGACAGGCCATAATAAAATTCAACAATAAAATTGCTAATACTAAAACTCAAGCTTTTGAACAAAAAAATTAGAATTTTAGAAAACTTATATCCACCATCACTTTCCAGAAGTATTCTGATGAGATTGATGGTGATATTGATGAGTGTATTTTGATATCATATAATCAAACATATCAATATATAGAAGATCTCAGTGAACCATTATTTTTGAACTGAACAATGCATGATGTTATAATATCATGCAAGGGTAAAAGATCCAAAGTTCAAGAAAAATCAAGTTTTGATGGAGTATCAAAAAAGAAGCCAAGGCAACATGGCAAAACCCTGTCTCTACAAAAAATACAAACAATGAGCTAGGTGGGGTAGTATACACCTGTAGTCCCAGCTACTCTGGAGGCTGAGGTGGGAGGAGCACCTGAGTCCCCAGATACTGAGGGTCCAGTGAGCCGTGATCATAGCACTGCATTCCAGCCTGGGAGACAGAGAAAGACCCCATCTCAAAAAAAAGAAAAAGAAAAAGAAGTATCCACAATGATCTAAAATGCCTATCTGTATGAGATTAGCCTTTGTTCACATTTTCTCAAGCAAATATCACTCAATAAATTGAATGCAGGTACAAATGACATATCAAACATCAAAGAAATTTGCAAAAGATGTAAGATTGTACTACTTTGAGTTTAGAAATTTTCTTTTCATAAAAGCATTTATAACAATATTTGGTGAGCTTTTAAAGAATATTTTAAGTATTTCTGATTTAATTTCTAGTGATAAATACCAATAGATATAACCTACATACACAAAAGCTCCTTGGGCCCTCAATATACTTTTAAGAGTGTAAAAGAATCCTGACCCCAAAACTTTGAGAACTGCTGCCTTCCCCTCCACTTTCTTCCTTCCCTAGAATTTCTTCCTTGGAAGAAACATTCCTTTACCATTCTATGTTAACTTACATAGTTCCATTGAGGCCAGTTTTGCTAACTCTCTCCCGTCTTTCCACATCCCTCTCTTGACACAAAACCTAACCAAAGGACTCTACTGGCCCACCCCATTTCCAGTGATTAGCTGTCAGGTGGGCTAAGCCAAGAAAACCTGGGTTTTCACTGAGACTAGACCTCTCCTTTTGGGAGAGATGGAATCACAGGGACAAGGTTGGCCACCTAGGGGTAGTCAGAATCCATCTTGCCTAAATGGGAAGAGGTTAGGCAAGTTTCTAGAAAGCCAAAATGCTTTCTAGAAAGTCAAGATAATTATACTTTCTGCCACGACTGTGAGAATGCCCATTTCATTGCATACTTTCTAACATTTTTACCAATCTGATAAATAAAAGCTGGTACCTAGAAGAAAAAAAGGCTGGGTGTGGTGGCTCATGCCAATAATCCCAGTACTTTGGGAGGCCAAGGTGAGTGGATCAGCTGAGGTCAGGAGTTCGAGACAAGCCTGGCCAACATAATGAAACCCCATCTCTAGTAAAAACACAAAAATTAGCCAGGCATGGTGGCAGGCACCTGTAATCCCAACTACTCAGGAGGCTGAGGCAAGAGAATCACTTGAACCTGGGAGGTGGAGGTTGTAGTGAGCCAAGATCATGCCATTGCCCTCCAGCCTGGGTGACAAGGTGAGACTTTGTCTCAAAAAAAAAAAAGTTTCCATACAATATAATTTGTTCCATCTCTAGAAACCAATGCAGCAATAACTGAAAGCCACCACTTGGAAGGTTTCAAGGATTTAGCTCTACCTGTTGATGTCCAAAGCATTAGTTAAGGTAGAAAAAAAATACACACACACACACACACACACACACACACACACTCTCTCTCTCTCTCTCTCTCTCTCTCTCACCCCTATGTAGTCAGTACCAGGAAACATGAAAGACTAGATGGTACAGTCATCCAACACAAAGCACACAATAACTGAAGGCACTGTAGAGGAGTAACTTATGACACAAATCTACAATATTGTTGAGTGAACATGCAGATTACAAAAAAAAATCTGATTTTTTAAGGGAGAGGGAACACATACAAGCAAAGGAGAAAAGAGATGAGCAGATGACTGAAAGATACAAAATTCTGATAGTGGTACATTCTGAGTGGTAGAATTATTGGTATTACTTTCTAGTTTTGCCTAAAAATTTTCTAAATTTCTTAAAATAAGAACTTTTTGTTACCCATATTATAAAATATCCATCACCCCAGGAAACTTAACCTTGAGCACAAACTCTACAACATGTTCAATGTTTGTTCAGTTTAATATTTAAGAGACAACCTATTTTGAAAGAAATCTAAAATGATGACCAATATTTAAACCTATGCATTAATATTTTTCAATCATATCCTTTACATTTTGTAATTTTGATAAGGTTAAGCTTTAGATCCATCTTGAAAAGATAAGTTTTCTATTTGTCTTTAAAATACGACCCACAATATGCCTGTTTTTAAACAGTGAATGATGCTCAAAAATCACAATATAAATTCAGGCAGTGTTCCCTACATGGAATGTTTAAGTACTTCTAACACTGCTCTTTTTCACCGGTTATGAAAACACAGAACAATTATCTAAGCATCTAATTATTCAGGTCCTTTGTTTCTCCTCCATTCTATTAGTTTTATAGTAATTTTAGGGCCTGTGAGGATGAAGTTCTCTGTGACAGCTACCACAAAGCTTACTATAAGCAGACAAATTTCAAACAAGTTTATCACCACTACCAACCCCACCATAAAACTGTCTCAATCAAGGGCAACACAATTCAAGGTTAGCCAAGACAACCTCTTTACCTGTCACTGCTTAAGAAAAGGATTTTTTGGTCTTAATTAGAAACAATATTCTGTATCTATTTTTCTCCATAAATCCACTGAGACCAATGTGTGGCTCTATCTCAAGCACCAGCAAGCAAAACTGCCTGCCGGTATGTTAGGTTTTTGTATCTTTCCAAATGTAGGGCACAGCTATCTTTTGATATAATTTTTTGAAAACTGATGCACATATTTTTCTTGCAAGTTCAGCCAGGCACGGTAGCTCATGCCTGTAATCCCAGCACTTTGGGAGGCCAAGGCAGGCAGATTATGAGGTCAGGAGTTCAAGACCAACCTGGCCAACATGGTGAAACCCGACTCTACTAAAATTACAAAAATTAGACAGGTGCAGTGGCAGATGCCTGTAATCCCAGCTACTAAGGAGGCTGAGGCAGGAGAATCGATTGAACGTGGGCGGCAGAGTTTCCAGTAAGCCGAGATTGTGCCACTGCACTCCAGCCTGGGTGATAGAGTGAGACTCCTTCTCAAAATTAAAAAAAGAAAAAAAGAATTTCAGATATACAGCAGTTGTAATTTTTCTGAAGGCTGGTTATGGGACACGTTACTTTCATACTTTGCTGTTCAATAAATGTGGGGTGGAGAATAAAGTAAATTGACAGAATTACCATATAAAATAAAATTCTAAGTCCTCTGACAACAAAAGAAACTTATAACACACACACACACACACACACACACACACACACACACACACACACAGAGTTTTCCCTGCTAATCATTTTACATCTAAACAACCAAGTAGCTAACCCAGAGCCCACAAAAGCAGAGTAAAAATTCTAACACTTGGTAAAATAAAAATGCACATATATCCCTGTCATCTAAAAAAAAATGCTTACGTATTCAAAGACAGCAATTACAGCTACTGAGAACATCATTGTTAGCAAACTGAGGCAGAGAAAACAAAGGTGCTGATGAGGATTTGAACCACCTAAGCTGCAGAAACCCACTGGATGGTTTCCTAGGTTCCAAGTTGGCATTATCTTTCAGAACGATCTTCTAGAAGAGATCACATAACACTGTTACAAAGGATCTGGAGAAAGGGACCCTGGCTTCATCACTCTGGCTCTCCAGTCATGCTTTACATTTTCACTTCTTACACTCTCTTTCATAGGAAGTCAATTTACAGGCCTCCATCAAGCCCTTAGAGACCTTTTTGTACTATCCATGACAAGTTCTTGATGTTATGTCTGCACTTCTGACAAATTCTTAGCAGTTAACTTACAAGGCAGTTAAGGTTTTTGTTCAAGCACAATATAGCTAGAATAGGGTCATACATTCAATAAAACAAATATTTACCAAGCATTTATTGAGTAGAAGATAAAAAGCACAAAGCATAATTATAAACTATTCTCCCCTGCCATCATAAAAAAAAAATTAAAAAGCCTTACAGAATACAGCATAACATGACCAAAGCAAAAATAGTGAGGACTAAAGAGGGGAGGAAGGGGAAATATCAGCATGAACTGAATATGACCCAGAAGAGCCTTGATGGTCAGACATGTAAAGACAAATTGGGTAGGGTTAGGGGGTGGCTGTCAGGGGCACATTCTACAGGGGAAAAATAGATGATACAGAAGCCTGAAAGGAAAGCGGGCAGAGCACCTGGACAGGACTCTTACCTGCTGCATCCAGGGTACAATGTGCCTTTCCAGAACACAGCAGCGACCCGGGATAGAGGGATCGCTCAAACAGCACCAGAGGCTGCATTCCAACTTTTCCTCCATCAACAAGCCCGTTTTCATTGTTAGTTTCTCCTTAAACACGATTGGCTGAACATGCGGGAACAAGGAAAACCTGACTGAAGAACGAGGCATTTAAGCTTAAGGGCCTTGGATCTGGGCGCGGTGGCTCAGGCCTGTAATCCCAGAACTCTGGGAGGCAGAGATGGGTCATTTGAGGTCAGGAGTTCGAGACCAGCCTGGCCAACATGGTGAAACCCTGTCTCTACTAAACAACACAAAAGTTAGCCAGGCGTGGTGTCAGGAGCCTGTAATCCTAGCTACTCGGGAGGCTGAGGCAGGAGAATCGCTTGAACCCATGGACTGTCAAGAGACGGAGGCTGCAGTAAGCCGAGATCACCCCACTGCACTCCAGCCTGGGCGACAGAGTGAGACTCCATCTCAACAAGTGCCTGCCACCATGCCCGGCTAATTTTTGTATTTTTAGTAGAGACAGGGTTTTACCATGTTGGCCGGGCTAGTCTAGAACTCCTGACCTCAGGCGATCCAGCTGCGTCAGCCTCCCAAAGTACTGGGATTACAGGAACGAGCACTGCGCCCGGCCAAAACCCCGAAAATCTTGAAGGCCTTTCCCCTTCCCCGCCCGGGCTCAAACAACAGCCGGAGACGCCCTGCCACGCCCCGTCGCGGTCCCGGGGAGCAGGCTGGCTGACTGAGGGCGACCATGGGCCCCGAAAGGGCTGCGGGCGACGCGGGCTCCCACCTCGGGGCGCGGTGACTGGGGCGAGAGGTGCCGGCAGCCCCCAAGCCAGCCCCGCAGCAAGGAGCCAGAGAGACGCGCCCTCCCCCTCCTCCCACCCAAGCCTCCCGCAGTCCCGGCGATCGGGGCCAGGCCAGTCGCGGGAGAAAGGTGCGCGCTCACCCGGCCCGGGGAACCGGGGCCTCTCCTGGGCAGGTTCCCCTTTGTCCCGGGACTCCGGGCTCTTCCTCTCCGCCCTCGCCCTGCCGTGTGAAGCCGCCGCTGGGCGCCTCACCGTGATGTTGCAGTGGAGCCTGAGCTGCCGCGGCGGCTCCTGGTTCTTGTGGAAAATAGAGGACAACAACTTCAGCTTGGCCTTGAACCCTGACACGGACATTTTACTCTCACCTCTGGCGGGAGGGGCGCGGAAGGTGAGCCGGTCGGGAGCCGCTGTCATGGCCGCGACCACCCGCGGGACCTCTCGGCGGCGCTCTCGCGGCTCCGCCTCTCCCCGCTGCCTCAACTCTAGTCGGAGTAGGGCTGGAAAATGGCAAGGGGCACCGAGGCCTCTGCGGGGAGCTGTGTGGCGGCCTGGGCGGCTGCTCCCCTTGTAACAGACTCCACCGACAGGAGGCGCTCCTCCTGTCAAGCCACAGCTTAAAAGGACAACAGCACCACCGCCCCCGCTACCGCCTGGGAAAGGGCTGCCCCTACCCCGCTCCCGTCCCTCTCGTCCCTCACCCCTCACCCCTCACCTCTCACCCCCGCGCGCCCGGTGCGCACCCGTTTCGGCGGGTGCACGAGTCCAGAGCATGTGCGCGCTTCCGGCTGCCCCCTCCTGGCTTTGACCCAGCACTGCTGGACCCATCTAGTCCGTTCCTCACACTCGCGGACTGGAAGCTCCAGGCTGCACAACCACCAACTGGTGTGTGTGTATTTAGGGGCGGGGGGAGGTACAAAACCACCAACTCGTGTGTGTGTGTGTGTGTGTGTGTGTGTGTGTGTGTGTGTGTCTCCCAAGGGAACAGCACTGCTGAGTTCAGGCTATCAGCTCATGGACTGTCAGCAAAATACAGTCACAAGAAGGCTATGTGCTGTTTTGTCTTTTGCAGTGATGTCATGTTGCTCATGTTTTATGTTTTTCAGAGTTCATTAGTTTCTTTTTGTTCTCAGTAATATCCAGCTCAATAGATTGTGTAAGTAGAATACCCCCAAACTGAAAGTCACCTACATAAAATATAGTGAAAAATATGTCACCCACTTAAACTATAGTTGAAAATATGTACTCATTAGTTTTGTGTAGCCAACACTGGATAATGGGTAAGGAAGGGCACAGGATCCCAGGGCTAGACTGCCTGGGTTCAAGTTCCGATTTAGCTGCTTGCTGGCTGTGAAATGCTTGACAGCTTTAAGCCTCAGTTTCTTTTTTTTTTTTTAACTTAATCCCAAATGTGATAGTAAGTCTCAGTTTCTTGATCTGAAAAACAGAAATTATTCAATGAGAGTCCATGTGAAAACTTTAAAGTTTTAAAGCCACTTTCTGGCTCAGGAAAGTCCTCAGCTTTAGCTGTTAAAGTTTTAAAAGCCACTTTAAAGTTTTAAAGCCACTGCCTGGCTCAGGAAAGCCCTCAGCTTTAGCCATTATTAGCTATGATTATTATTGTGCTGGCTACACATGCATTAATGAGGCAGGAAAATGCTCAAGGATAACAACCAAGTATCCAAATTATCTCATCAGACCGAAACAGATGCATATGTTTGCATGCTCATGTTTTAGCTCAGAGCCATTTGTCTAAAAGACTCTTGAACTCAGGGGTCCAGGCAGTATCAACTTTACTTTGCAGTGAAGCCATCACGTTTGTTAATCAATGAAAACGACATAATGCTCTTTTTTTTTTTTTTTTTTTTTAGCACCAACCATGTGCCTAAAGCTAACTGTGTCAAAAAGAGCATGCTTCGAGGGGCTGGAGTGAGCAATTCAACTTGTGGAGAAATAAGAAATAATAGTGTTGAGACAAGAAACATAAAACCGCAGGGTAAGGTAGGAATCACTGAAGGTCAGGCAAAGGAACTGGCATCCAGTAATGAGTCAGGCTTTGACGGCCTCTGGCCCTACAGATGGCTCTTTGGAGAGGAAAAAATTAAGCCAGGCCTGAGGCCACAGATCCTAAGGGACTGCTGGCAGCTCTAGGCTGTCTATGGAAGAGAAGCAGAGGGTGGCACCTGGTTGAAAGAGGGAGCTGGGGGGCATGGCTTGAGCCCGCATTTACAGATAGAGTCCCCTGATTCCTGCAACTGGGGAAGAAGAGCATGCCTGGATCAGGGGACCTCAAATCAGAACTCTTCCCACCCACACCCCTTCTTTTCAGGGCATCTTTCACTGCAAACAACAGATAAACTAGTTAGAAAGCTCAGCAGATTCTCAGGATGGTGCCTAGCGGGCAGGGCCTAGCTACCCTTTGACAGTGACTGAGGGTGATGCCACAGGCCCGTAAGCACACATTGGAAAATCTTTACATCCATGGACACGCCATGCCCCACAGAGACAGCTGTGCAGGGTTCTTTAGGTTTGGGGTGCTCTGCTGGCAGTTGCCTTATAAATATATAGGATTAAAATGGGATGCCCTGGAGCTTAGCTAACCTTTACACCCCACTCTAAAAGGAACGGACTGCTAGTTTTGTCTGCTTTATAAAAGATGGATCTGTCATTGTTTTTAGAACTTTTGGAGAAAGATTTCTTGGGAGGAAGCTATCCTGAACGCTTAGAGACTTTTCTCATTTACTGGCACACCAGCTTTAGAGTCCTAGGTCTTCATCCTGGCTCAGCCACCCTCCAGCTGTGTGAACTTTGAGAAGTTGCTTGACTACACTGAGTCTCGTTGTCACTATGAGTGGAGGTTGCTACGTTGCTACTGTGTGGAGCACCTACCCCCAAGCACTCTTATAAGGTGATGGTGAAGATTAAATGAAATAATACGGCTCAAGGGGGAGGATCACTTGAAGCCAGGAGTTTGAGACTAGCCTGGGCAACAAAGCCAGACCTCATTTCTATGAAAATGTTTTTTGTTTTCTTTTGTTTTGCTTTTTGAGATGGAGTCTCGCTCTGTTGCCCAGGCTGGAGTGCAGTGGCATGATCTCAGCTCACTGCAAGCTCTGCCTCCTGGGTTCATGCCATTCTCCTGCGTCAGCCTCTGGAGTAGCTGGGACTACAGGCGCCCGCCACCACACCCAGCTAATTTTTTGCATTTTTAGTAGAAACGGGGTTTCACCATGTTAGCCAGGATGGTCTCGATATCCTCACCTTGTGATCCACCTGCCTCGGCCTCCCAAAGTGCTGGGATTACAGGCATGAGCCACCTGCCCGGCCCGAAAATGTTTTTTAAAAAATTAGCTGGACTTGATGGTTTATGCCTGTATTCCCAGCTACTCGGGAGGCTGAGGTGAGATCATTTGAGCCCAGGAGTTTGAGGCTGCAGTGAGCCATGATCACGCCACTGCACTCCAGCTCAGGCAACAGAGAGAGACCCTATCTCAAATCAATGAATAAGTAAGTAAATAAATAAATAAATGAAATAATGCACACAATTACTACACTAGTACATGATCAGGCACATGATAAATGCTCAATAAATGGTAGCCCCAATAAGCTTTGTAATGTTTTGGGAAAGGGTGTCCTTTGGACTCAGCCCAGTGACAGAAGCATTTGAAAAGACTGATTTGTATGATGGCTATTTCCTCCAGGTACAAACCTGTACCTCCAGGGACCCAGGGCATTGGCTCAGTGGGGCACCTTGTTCTATTTTCTCTTGTTTTGGGCAGCACTGATTGCCCTAGGGCTAATCAGGACTGCCACCCCAGACTCCATTGCCAAGAGTATCCCCCTCCCCAAGCTAGCCATGGGAAAGCCACTTGCATCCTAAGACTACTGGAAATTAAAGGGAATAAAAAGCACAATTTAGTCGCTCACTCTCCAGCTGATGGGAAATAGGTTTTTGCTATTTTGAACAGAGCTGTTAGGAACATTCCTTGTCCACATCCCCTGTTTTATATTGTTTTATATAGGCAAGAATTTCTTTTGGATGTAGAGTAGAATTGCTGAGCTGGGAGGAGTATGAATATTCAGCCTTATGAGATGGAGCCAAATTGTTTTCCAAAGTGGTTATACCAGTGTATACTCCCAGCAGCAGTTCTTAAGAGATCTCAGGATCTCTATCTTCTGGTGATGTCACAACATACAAAAAGAATGAATGCCAGCTATAAACAACAATAAGGATGAATCTTAGCAATATAATATTAAGTGAAAAAAAACAAGTTCCAGAAGGATGCATACAGCATCCTCTATATAGCTTGGAAAAGAAAATGTGGGCATGGTGGCTCATGCCTGTAATCCCAGCACTTTGGGAGGCCAAGGCAGGAGGATTGCTTTAGGCCAGGAATTCAAGACCAGCCTAGGCAACATAGCAAAACTCTGTCTCTACAAAAACTAGAAAAATTAACTGGGTGTGGTGGTGCAGGCTTGTAGTCCCAGCTACTCATGAGGCTGAGGTGGGAGGATCTCTTGAGTCTAGGTGATCAAGGTTACAGTGAGCCATTACTGCACCACTGCACTCAGAGACAGTAAGTAACTTGTCTAAGGTGGCCTCATTAGAAGTTAGCTGCGGCCAGGCGCAGTGGCTCACACCTGTAATCCCAGCACTTTGGAAGGCTGAGGCGGGCGGATCATGAGGTCAGGAGATCGAGACCATCCTGGCTAACACAGTGAAACCCCATCTCTACTGAAAATACAAAAAAAAATTAGCCGGGCATGGTGGCAGGCGCCTGTAGTCCCAGCTACTTGGGAGGCTGAGGCAGGAGAATGGCGTGAACCCGGGAGGCAGAGCTTGCAATGAGCCAAGATCGGGCCACTGCACTCCAGCCTGGGCAACACAGTGAGACTCCATCTCAAAAAAAAAAAAGAAGAAGTTAGCTGTGGTGGCTGGGTGCAGTGGCTCATGCCTATAATCCCAAAACTCAGGGAGGCCAAGGCAGGAGGATCACCTAAGATCAGGAATGTGAGACCAGCCAGGCCAACATGGTGAAACCCTGTCTTTACTAAAAATACAAACATTAGCCAGGTGTGGTGGTGGATACCTGTAATCCCAGCTACTCTGGAGGCTGAGGCAAGAGAATAGCTTGAACCCAAGAGGCAGACATTGCAGTGAGCTGAGACTGCACCACTGCACTCCAGCCTGGATGACAGAGCAAGACTCCATCTCAAAAAAAAAAAAAAAAAAAGATTCAAAAGCGTTAGAAACCAAATAAATGTAATGAAAACAATCAGATTTTCTGCTTAAAGACCAGCGAAGAGGACAAATGGGAGGGGGAAACTGGAGCTCTGCCCCTGTTGGTGGGAGTATAAACTGAACCAATTTTTCTGCAGGATAATTTGAAAATTTATATTAAAAACCCTAAAACTGTTGTACGTTATTTTCCTCCAGAAATTCTACTTCTATGAATTAAATCCAAAAATGCTTGCTCTAATCCACTAAAAATATACATATAAGAAAATTTATTTCTGGGGTGGCAATGATTAAGTTAATATACATCGAGCTATTAAAAATGATGATGCTAAGGATAGATTTACTGCCATAGAAATATGCCTAAAACATAGTGACAAAAGACTATATAATGATTCTACTTTTTAAAATGTGTATATGCATAAAAAAGTATAAAAAGCAACAAGGCAGAATGTTTTGAGTGGCAAAATTAAAGACTTTTCTTCATATTTTGTCTTCCAAATTATTAGAAAAAGAATATGATTTTCTTTATAATCAGGGAGAAGTATTATTTTCATTTATTTCTATTTAAATTTATTTTCTTTTCCTTATTTTTTCTCATCTATGTATCACATATAGTCTAGAAAGCTTGAATCCCTGCCTCTTGAGATAAATCAGCCCATTTCTTTCTCTATAAATTTGCCTTTTTTGGACATTTCAAATCAATGGAATTATACAATATGTGGTCTCGTGTCTGGCTTTTTTACTTAGCTAATGTTTTTGAGGTTGGTCCATGACATATTGTAGCAGGATGAGCTGCAGACAAAACTCCTCAGACACCAGGTTAAAAAAGGAAGGAGCTTTATTCAGCTGGGAGCTTCTGCAGACTTGCATCTCAAAAGCCAAGCTCCCCAAGTAAGCAATGACTGTCCCTTTTAAGGGCTTACAACTCTAAGGGGGTCTGTGTGAGAGGGTCGTGATCAATTGAGGAAGCAGGGGGTATGTGACTGGGGGCTGCATGCACCAGTAATTGGAATGGAACAGAACAGGACAGGGATTTTCACAATGCTTTTCCATACAATGTCTGGAATCTATAGATAACACAAGCAGTTAGGTCAGGGGTTGATTTTTAACTACCAGGCCCCCAATTTTTTTTTTTGAGATGGAGTCTCACTCTGTTGCCCAGGCTGGAATGCAGTGGTGGGATCTCAGCTCACTGCAAGCTCCGCCTTCCAGGTTCATGCCATTCTTTTGCCTCAGCCTTCTGAGTAGCTGGGACTACAGGTGCCTGCCACCACGCCCAGCTAATTTTTTGTATTTTTAGTAGAGTCGGGGTTTCACCGTGTTAGCCAAGGTAGTCTTGATCTCCTGACCTTGTGATCTGCCCACCTCAGCCTCCCGAAGTGCTGGGATTACAGGCATGAGCTACCACACCCGGCTGATATTGAAATTAACGTTTTGCTTTCTTCTTGCATCTATTTTTCACTTCTCTGACATTTTGATGGATAAAGTTTCATTTGGAAGGATTTTTATTTCAAAATAGAAATAGCATATAACATGAGAATGGGAACTCTGAAAGGTTCAACTTTCTAGTCATTAGTTTCCTAAGATTGTCATGAAAGCCACATATAGTCAATCATGATTGGCCTGTATTAAAAGTGAGATAACATCATGTACAACTTAAGCACTGTACTTTCTATCAGATATAGAAAAATAGGTGGTGTGTTTGGAAAAGTATTGGGCTAGGAGTCAGGAAGCTTGACTGTTAGTCCCAACCCTCCTTCTTCAGCTGAGCACCCCTAGGCAATAATTCAGCAGCTATTTCTTAAATACCTAATGAGTTTCAGGCTTTGTAGTTGGGCTGGGAATAAAGATATAGATATTGCTTTCATGATTCTCCAAGGCTCCCCTCCTCACCCCAACTCACAGTGAGCTTTCTTATGCATTGTGTAAATTTGTCTCCTAACAGGTCCCAACTCTCTCTCCAACCTGCTTCCCAGGGAAGTTGTGAGGATCAAATGAGAGAGAATATGTATGAAAGCAAATTCTAAATGATTTTAAAATGCAATAAAATATGACCTATGGAAAATTATTTAAAGATCCTTAGAATTTTAAATAAACAGTACATTAACCTGAGTTCTCTATGGTTTTTATTTTAAATAGATATGAAAGTTTTACAATGAACCACTGATATGGTTGAAAAACTTAGCTTGATTATTCTCCAAGAAAATGATACAGTGGTTTGTCTGGTGAATTTTCTAAAATTGCCAGCCAAATAAAACCAAAACCTCTTTTGAGTTGAGTGACTGGATCAGTCAAAGGAACATTGACTGTGTAATGGAGAAATGTTTTCTGTGTTCACTGACAGCTTGCCGTTGTTTGATTCCAGCTGCAGCATATCATGAGTGATGAGATCTGTGTACAGGTGACTGACCTTTACCTGGCAGAAAATAATAATGGGGCCACCGGAGGCCAGCCGAACACACAGAACTCAAGAAGCCTCCTGGAGTCAACGTATCCACAGAAAGCCAAGCAGCTAATGTCAGATGAGAAATGCTTTAAGGTGAGAGTTGCTCATGTAGTCAAAGACCTTGCTGGTGACAATGTAAGTTGTTAGGATTCTCTGAATCGGAAGTTATAGCCAGGGTACTTTGACCCCGTGATTCTACTCCTGGAACTTTTTAGAGTTCCTAATGAGTTCACCAGAGAAATACAAAGTGGAAGTAACCATCTTCCTGGACAATCTATTTTGTTTCTTTCTTGCCTTAAAAAAAAAAAACTAGTTATATATGATTTTTACAATTTTGTATTCTTCTTTTTCCCTGAACATTTTTCATAATATGCTTTGTATCTCTTATTGTTAAAAAAAAAAGTTGGTACATGAAACCCATGGTCGTGGTCATTATAGAAAAAAAAGTAGGCCTGGCACACTTGGCTCACACTTGTAATCCCAGCACTCTGGCAGGCCGAGATGGGTAGATCGCTTGAGACCAGCTTGGGCAATGCAGCAAAACCCCATCTTTGCAAAAAATACAAGAATACAAAAATTAGCCAGGTGTGGTGGCATGCGCCTCTAGTCCCAGCTACTCAGGAGACAGAGGTGGGAGAATTGCTTAAGCCTGGGAGGTCAAGGTTGCAGTGAGCCCTGATCATATCACTATGTTCCAGCCTGGGTGACAGAGTAAGACCCTATCTCAAAAAAACAAAACAAAACAAAAAATGCAGATAACCAAAAAAAGTCACCTTAGAATTCTTTCCTGAAATTACCATTGATGACATTTCTAGACTTTCCTGTGCTTGAGTATATATTTTGAAAGAGTTTATACTGGACAAATGGTCTTTCACTTTATTTATTTATTTATTTATTTAGAGACAGGGTCAGGCTCTGTTGCACAGGCTGGAGTGCAGTGGTATGATCCTGGCTCACTGCAACCGTGCCTCCTGGGTTCAAGTGATCATCGTGCCTCAGCCACCCTAGTAGTTGGAATTACATGGGCCACCACACTGGCTAATTTTTGTATTTTTAGCAGAGATGTGTGTCAGATCCCAGGGTCCAGGTCCAGCCCATGGTGAAGTCTGAGGGGAGTGGGTGGGTGAGCAGAAAGAACAATCGGGGGGCCATAGGCAGGTGAAAGATAGTTTTATTCAGCGGCAGCTCTCATTAACAGCTTTCTTACACTAGCTCTCTTATTAGCAGCTTACTCTTCCACTGTTCGCCTGTCTCAGCAGCTTGAGCCAGCTGCCCCTACACATAGCTGCGCAGCCAGCTCTCTCTTGCCTTCAGGGTCAGCAGCTTAACTCCTTCTCTCTCTGGGCATGAGCAAGCCCAGCTGTGTCCTGGCTCCCTCCCATCTGCCTGCAAGATGGACAGCTTTGGCTCTCTCTTTCTCTGGGTGCCAGTGTGCTCATCATGTCAAGCCATGTTAAGCCAAACTGAGCCAAGCCCCGAAGAGCCATGTCTCTTATGCACGGCATCAACAGGGCAGTTATACCTTTTACAGACAATAGTGGCATAAAGCCAGGAATGAACTTACACAAACAGGTTATATTACAAGTGGAGCTGTGTGCTTGCACGCCAAACTCGTGAGTCACACAGGCCTAGATATCCACCTCGGCCTATTCCTTGACCAAAGCACATCTATGTACCTTACTATGTGGTTTTGTATGTTGGCCAGGCTGGTCTCAAACTCCTGAACTCAAGTGATCTGCCCGCTTCAGCCCCCAAGTGCTGGGATTACAGGTGTGAGCCACTGCATCTGACCGGAAAGGATGTATTTTTGCTCAATTAGCAACACTTCTGGGTCTTTAATGTCTTTTCTATGGCTATTTGATATTCACTTTATAGAGAATTAATGCCTGTATTGTTGGACATTTAAGTTGTTTCCAAGTTTTCACCATTATAACTGTATTTGTGTGTATATATTATATTCTTGCCAGGCTGTAAGCTTTACTAGCAGAGAGGAAATTTTAAAGCTTTAAAAGAACGCTGAGCTAGATCTAGCTTCTGGCTCTGTGTGTTTATTGACCAGTGGTGTGCCTTGAGAAACCAGAACTCTCTGAATTTCAGTTTTGTCTCTGTGTAAATGAAGAAGGTTGTAATAAAAAAAATCTCAAGTTTCCTTCCAGGCTCTGATCTTCTCCATGTGATTCTGATAGTTACCTCCTCTGCAGAAAGCCATTAGGGTAACGGCACTGAGAATCTCAGGGTTCTGAAAGGGGAGATCCATGTGCCATCACCATTGATAGTTGTTTTTTGCAAAACATGTTTTGCTTGCCTCTATTGGTGTGTTGCTTTTAAGTACGGATTTTTTATTTTTATCACCAGGCAGCCCCTGCAACATTTTTGGCAAAAAAATCATTCTCCCATAGCAGATTGTGCTTGTGACTTTGGGCCATGATGAGGCCATAGTCTGGTGTCAATGTGGGGCAGCAATAATGACACACCTCATCCTGCTGTAAGGCCTTGTTGGAGGCTCTTTGCCTAGTCTCCAGGCAAGGGGCAGCTGCCCTTCTCTTAGCAAGGAAAGAGGGCTACTTCTTTTAGCCCAGAGCATTCCGTGGAAACTGGAGGCTCAAAGTTCTCAGATGTATCCACTTAAGTTTCCCCATACCAGCTATCAGGATCCTATTCCTCTCGTCTTGTCTCCTCCCCTCCCCTCACTTCCCCTCCCTTCCCCTCCCCTCCCCTTTATTTTCTTTTCTCTTTTTCTTTTTCTCTCTTCCTTTCTCTCTTTCTTTCTTTTTGTGATGGGATCTCATTCTGTCGCCCAGGCTGCAGTGCAGTGACGTGATCTCAGTTCACTGCAATCTGTGCCTCCTGGGCTCAGGCGATCCTCCCACCTCAGTCTCCTGGGTAGCTGGGACACAGGCAGACGCTACAACATCTGGCTAATTTTTGTATTTTTTATAGAGATGGGGTTTCACCATGTTGCCCAGGCTGGTCTCAAACTCCCGGGCTCAAGTGATCCTCCTGCCTCAGCCTCCCAAAGTGCTGGGATTACAGGTATGAGCCACTGCACTTAGCTCTCCTTTTCCTTAAGTAATTCTAAATAAAAACAAGACTAAATCATAAAATAAAATGTGTGTTTTTGGGGAAATGACACAAAACTTCCATGACACCTGACATTAAAATAGTTTATTTCTCGATTTCCTGCTGTGTGCATGTGTGTGTGTGCACCCTTGTCATTGGTTGACGCCCTATGTGTGTACTTGCTATAGCTACTGGGTCAATCTGCACAATGTCTGACTCCACAGTTTCCAGCAAACAAAAACTCTATATGGCCTAATTTTCAAGCAGTTGAGATTGAAGCAGCAGTCTCCTTCTGAATTTAATTTGAATTAAACTGCCAGGCCGTACTTGTGTGGGAAACTGACAATTTTCAGCAAGAAATTTCCAGGTGAGGCCTGTCACCCTCCAGTGTAACTCTAGGGCCTGCATGGCAGGGAGACTGGCTTTGGCTGGAGGCTGGGTCAAAAGGCCTCTCCTGGAATGGCACATTCCCATCCCAGGGAGGGAGCTCTGTTGGGAGCAAGAGATGGACCAAGAAGACCCATCCATTAGGAAAGTGGCCCTTGGTCTGTGCAATTTTAATAGAGTGGGGAGCTTGGTGCAATAACCACTTCTGATGGGGAAACTAGTTGGAGACATGGGCATTCATTGTCTTTCCCATGTGTGCCCCACTGGGGCCCAAACTTGAGGGGTGAAAAGTTCCAGGAGACAGATCAAGAGTGGTGTACATGTCACAACTGCCCAGGCTGGGCTCCTCCCACCACCCATCGGTCCTGCCCTCTGGAACCCCGGGCAGGCGGGCAGGAACGCTTTTTGTGGTCTGGGCTTCTGGCCAGGATGTCTATGGCTTCCTAACACCCATGTGGGGCAGCCTAGTGTAAAGATCCTGAAAGTAGGAGAACAGCAATTGATCAAGTGAACCCAAGATATGACTAAAACTCTCTGATGGCAAAGCCTTTGATGCTGAAGAGTCTGGCCCATAGAAAGATGGCCTTGAGCATGGCACCTCTGACCAAATCCCTTACTCTGACCTACTGAGCATATGGACCCAGCCCTGCTCACAGTCAGGGCTGAAGGAAGACCTCATGGAGTTTATGTGATAACTGCACTTCCCGTGTGCCTGTTACAGCTGATTCCACCCACACTGTCCTCTGCCCTGGCCAGCCCAGCCCTGCCATGCCCTGCCATTGCAGTCAGGGCTCTTTGGGTGTGAGTGACAGAAAATTCACTCGAGTTGGCTTAGGCAAGAAGGGAAGTTCATTGCTCAGTAAGTTAGCCACGGGCAGGGCAGGGAACAGCTGGGCCTCAGGAATACCTGGACTCAGAGTCACCAGCACTGTCAAGATTTGCAGGCTCCTTCCCTTGTCTCTGTCTCCACCTCAGTCCGCAGATCAGTTTTGTGCTCTCAGAGCAACTTTCTTCACAAGGTTGGAATCAGGCTGTTGGCAGCATGAGGCTTCCATCTTCCTGGCTTTGCCCCTAAGAAAGGATGGGGCTCCTCTCCATTAGTTCCTATTCAGAAAATTCCAGAAGAAAGTTACTGCTTGGTCTGGTCTGGATTGGCTGGGTAGCTGGGACACTAGAACTGCCAAGCCCTCTAGTGTCATGTGGTTGAAGTAGGGCGGGGAGATGTATTAGTCAGTTCAGGGTGCCATGCCACAATACCACAGACTGGGTGGCTTAAGCCACAAACATTTATTTCTCACAGTTCTAGAGGCTGGGAAATCCAAGACCAAAGTGCCAGCAAGGTAGGTTTCATTCTGTGGCCTCTCCTCTTGACCTGTAGGTGGCTGCCATATTGTATGCTTACATGACCTCTTCTTTGTATTTGTGAGGAGAGAGAGAGTGAGTGAACTCTCTGGTGTCTCATCTTATAAGGACACTAATCCTACTGAATCAGGGCCCCACCCTTAGGACCTCATTTAACCTTAATGACTTCCTGAGATGCCTCATCTCCAAATGCAGCCACAGAGAGGGTTAGGGCTGGATTTGGAAGAGACAGAGACATTCAGTCCATGATGGAAAGAAAAACTATTCATGAAAAAACGGGTGCAGTAGCCAGAAAAGGGGAGACAAAACTACAGATGGTCTCCCCATTTCCCCCAATACACAATACACACACACACACACCCCTGCCTTTGCCCCTTCCCCACAAGGCCACTCCCCACCCCGTGATTATTTACCTCCCTCCTGTCCTGCTCTCTGGAGCTGCCCCTTCCCCTAAGTTGTCCTGTGGCTCACTGAATGCTGCATGCAGGTAGGTGCATGTAAATGCAGCCCGGAACTGGGGGCCTCCTGGACCATGTGTGTCCTGAGCCCCACCATGGGACTGGGCAGGAAGTGGGTCTTACCCATGTCTCCTGTCCTCAGGCAGAGCCTAGCCCTGGGACATGAGCTCAGTGGGTGCTGCAGCTTTGTTGGATTCACCTCAGGCGCCCTTTCCCCATCCACTTATAAGGTACCCAGGGCCTTGATACCTCTGTCCTTGGAAGAAAAGAATGAGATTACCCAGCTCACATGAACCTGCTGGTGGCTTTCCACAATAGAAGGATATAATTTTCCAGTTCAAAGAGTCTACCGAGTGACTAGCATAGTGAATGAAGAAAGACCTACAACAAGGCACATCATTGGGAAATTCCAGAAAAGCAAGGATAGAGAGAAAATCCTAAAATCTTATAGAGAGAAAAGAGGTCATATATAAAGAGCCAAGACTCAGCATGACACTGACTTCTTCCCAACAACACTGGGAACTAGAAAATAATAGAGCAATATTTCCCAATGTGAGGAGAAGTTATGTTTAAATTAGAGCATTATTTCCAGCCAAACTATTAATCAGGAGTTGGAGTAGAACAATGACATTTTAAAATATGTGGGGTCGGAAACTTGGCTTCCATTCACTCTGTCTCAGGAAGCCACTGGAAGATGTGCTGCAACACGGTGAGAGGATAAACCAAGGAAAAAGAAGATCTGGGGCCAGGGAACAGGAGATGCACACAGAAGAGGCAGCAGGAAATTCACACGATGGTGCAGAGACATGCCAGGATGCCAGCTGTGCCATGGGCTGAGAGCCGAGTCCAGTTTGGAGCAGAAGGATGGAGTTCAAGGGAGAGAGAGAAGCCTCCAGGAAAATAATGGGGCTGATAGAGTATCCAGTGTATCTTAGTTTTTGGATAATTATCACTAGGCATTTGATAGATTGGTTGAAGCATCTGAAAAAATTGGTAGGTAATTGGTAAAAAATAAAAATAAAAATAAAGAAAAACATAAACAAATGAAGGGAAAAAGTCTACAGCAATTATTAACTCTGGGGGAATAAAGGAAAGAAATGAAACAATTTCAGTGTGGAACTTGGGTTAGGGAACAATATTTACATAGCTATAAGAATGTAAATGCTTTTGATTTCATAAAATTGTGATCCAGTCAAATTGGTGTAATGGAGGCAAGGAAAGTAAGACCTCATAAGGAAGGTAAGCCCTATACTGTGCTATGCCAGGAATTGACAGATACTGAAGAAAACAAATCAAGAAATAGCAACATAAACATTCTTTAGAAATACAATGATAGTCCGGGCATTTTGGCTCACACCTGTAATCCCAGCATTTTGGGAGGCCAAGGTGGGCGGATCACCTGAGGTCGGGAGTTCAAGGCCAGCCTGACCATGGAAAAAACCCATCTCTACTAAAAATACAAAATTAGCCAGGTGTAGTGGTGCATGCCTGTAATCCCAGCTACTCAGGAGACTGAGGCAGGAGAATCGCTTGAACCTGGGAGGTGGAGGTTGTGGTGAGTGGAAATCACACCATTGCACTCCAGCCTGGGCAACAAGAGCAAATCTCCATCTCAAAAAAAAAAAAAAAAAAAAAAAAAAAGATAAATACCAGAGGAAGTAGCAAAATCAGCTTAAAGAGATGGCCTCTGGGAATTAGAACTCAAAGGCAAGAAAGGAAAGGGAAGAGTAAATGGTTTTTGATATAAGCCTTTTATTATCATTTTGTTCTTTTTTCTTCTTTTCTTGTTTTACTGAGGATTTCTTGATCCAGATACCATTTTGTTCTTAACTCTGTGTATCTAGTACTTTGATCAGAATTAAATATAATGTTATTAGTTCTGGAGACCTGTTGTACAGCATGATGACTATAGTTAATAATAACGTATGCTTGAAAATTGCTAAGAAAGTAGATTTTTCGCTTTTATTATTATTTTTTTCTTTTTTTTTTTGAGACGGAGTCTCGCTCTGTCACCCAGGCTGGCGTGCAGTGGTACAATTTCGGCTCACTGCAACCTCCGCCTCCCGGGTTCAAGCAAGTCTCTGCCTCAGCCTCCCAAGTAGCTGGGATTACAGGCATCTGCCAGCAGGCCTGGCCAATTTTTGTATTTTTAGTAGAGACGGGTTTTCACCATTTTGGCCAGGCTGGTCCTGAATTCCTGACCTCATGATCCACCTGCCTCAGCCTCCCAAAGTGCTGGCATTATAGGTGTGAGCCACCACGCCCGGCTATTTTTATTTTATTTACTATTTTTTTTGACACGGAGTCTCACTTTTTCACACAGGCTAGAGTGCAGTGGCACGATCTCAGCTCACTGCAACCTCTGCCTCCTGGGTTCAAGTGATTCTCCTGCCTCAGCCTCCTGAGTAGCTGGGACTACAGGCCCATGCCACCACACCTGGCTAATTTTTGGTATTTTTAGTAGAGACGGGGTTTCACCATGTTAGCTGGGATGGTCTCCATCTCCTGACCTTGTGATCCACCCGCCTCAGCCTCCCAAAGTGCTGAGATTACAGGAATGAGCCGCTGTGCCCAGCCTGCTTTTATTATTTTTAATCAACACATAGTTGTATATATTTATGGGGTATAATATTTTATACATGTATACAATGTGTAATGATCAAATCGTAATTAGCATCTCCACCACCTCAAACATTTATCATTTCTTTGTTCTGGTAGCATTCAAAATCCACTCTTCTAGCTATTCAAAACTATATAATAAATTGTCATTAATTACAGTCACCCTATAGTGCTAAAGACACTAGAACTATTCTTCCTATCTAGCTGTACTCTTTGTTTTTGTTTTTGTTTTTGTTTGTCCCCCAGACAGGGTCTCATTCTGTCCCTAAGGCTGGAATGCAGTGATGCAGTCACAACTCACTGTAGCCTTAACCTCTTGGACCCAAGTGATCCTTCCACCGCAGCTGCCCAAGTAGCTGGGACCACAGGCGTGCACCACCATGCCTGGCTAATTTTTAAATTTTTTGTAGAGAGTGGATCTCCCTATGTTGCCCAGCCTGGTCTCAAACTCCTGGCTCAAGTGAGCCTCCCAAAGTGCTAGGATTACAGGCGTGAGCCACTGCACTCAGCCATGTACTCATGTATCTGTTAACCTGTTAGCCAACCCTTGGTTACCCCCTCCCCCTTACTCTTCCTCACCTCTAGTAAACACTATTCTAAGCAAAGAGATCTTAAATGTTCTTACCACAAAAATAATAATAAAAGTATGTGAGGTGATTAAAATGTTAATTAACTTGATTTAATCATTTCACAATGTATGCATATATCAAAACATCACACTGAACGCTGTAAATGTACACAATTTTTATTTGCCAAATATACTTTAATAAAGATGGGGGAAGAATTGAATATGATGTTAAAACAAAAACAATAGCAAAACCTAAAGAAAATTAATAAGCTAGTTCAGACCAGCCTTTTACAGATGAGGTCACTGAAGTGCAGAGAGCTGAACTGACTTGTCTGATCTTACACAGCAAGTCACCGGCAGAACTTGGCCTGAAATCCAAAGCCAAGCATTTTCTAATACCTCCAGCTCCTTCAGTCCAGCCCTCCCGGGGCTCTGCTTGGGGAATTGGTATTGGTGACAAAGGGAATAGAGAGAAACATGCATGGCGTTCTCCATTTAGATTAACATAATCACACTGTGCCAGGGCGTCAGCCGGAAACAGTGCAAACTCCAAGAGTGCTCCCCCGACCCTTTTCCCCTCCCCATCCTCTCTCATAATCAACTTCAGCAAAAAGGACTGAGAAGAAAAGGGAATCTTAGATGACTCTCACTAGGGTATAAATGGCTCCCACCATGATTTTTATTTTATTGAGACATAAATCTAAAAACAGTTTGACGGATAGGATGCCAGGCAGTAGAATGAAGACAGATGGGGAAACTGCCTAGGGTCATGAAGAATGTGGAGGCACTGAGGTCCTGAGTAATTTCATAAACAACACCTTAGGAAATGTCCAGCACCATGGTTTTTTACCTTCACTCAGGACCCACAAGGCCCCACGTTCTGACAGATTTTGTTTATCAGACAAATTGCACTCAGTCATGCTTCATTCATGTTCCCTGGAGAGTTCCCAGGTTACATAGAATTGAGATAATCTCCCCCCTCCCCGTCACCCCCACGAAGACACTCCATCTTTCTGTTTGCAATACAATCTTATACGGATCAATATTAGATTTTCATGGCGCTCTTTGCATTTTGCAACTATTGCTCAAGCTGGAGACCCAAAAAGAGCACTAGCTTTAGAGTCAAAGACCCCTGGGTTCCAGTTTCAGCTGAGAGACTGTGAGCACATCACTAGCCCACTCTAATCCTGTATCCCAGTTGTATAATCACCTATTTCCCATCAATTGCAAGGCTGGAGAGAAAAGTGCCCACTCTGTGACCAGTACACAGTAGGAGCTTAGTACGCTTATCTTGCTTCCCCACTATCCTAGTGTGTTAGGGGAAAGACAGAGATGTGGGGAATGGCACCTGGGAGGCTCCAGCTGTATGCTTCATAATACTACCGAAGAAAAATCTGAATTAGGCTTCAGTTTCCCATCTAAAAAATGAGACAGGACAGGAGTGGGTAGGAAGAGGAGGAGCTGGGCTTTGTTGGTTTAAGCTGGGCCCGTCTGATTCTGTAACGTGGACTTCACTGTCGGATCCAGCCCACTCCCCAGCCGGAGCTTCGCGTGCTCTGAATGTCTTTTGGGCAAGTCCAAGGCTGTCCAGGGTCGGGGTGGGGAGGCGGGGTGGTGGGTAGCGGGGTGGGGAGAAGCAGTTCCCACACATAACCTGTAGGTGGCACCAGAGCAGCGCAAGAGCCAAGGGTTCCGCTCCAGCGTTCCTGGAGACCCGGGCAGGGCGGGGTAGGGCTAGGCAGAGGTGGTGCACACCGCTCAGCTGGGCAGCGCCACCAGCGCGGCTGCGGATGGATCCACACCGTTTGAAATAGACACATAGGTCTTCTGGCTAATTTCCTCTCTTTAATAGGGTGATCATATGCTTTATCATCCAAATCCAGACACTTCGGAGAGTGAAAGGGGACACTAATAATTGCACCGGGACAGCAGACATAACCTTAGCTGTACCTTGCAAACCAGAACGAACATATGGTTGCCCTACCCTCTGGTCACTTTTTCTTCCTTGTTTCCATTCTTTTTATTTTTATTTTTTTCTTCTTAAACACACAGCATTCTTTTTCCCCGAGCGCCATTGTCTTTTAAAATGCCCTTGCAATCAGGATATTTCCGACCATGCAACATCGGCTTCCGCATCTTGAGTCTGAACAGTCTCTCTGAACCCACTCCAAAGGCTGGTTTTAACTTCCAGTCAGAAGACTCTGTTCCTGGCTTACTATCCCCATGACTCAGGAATTAAAGATGTCAGACGTGGAACAGTGGGCCTTATCTCAACTTTGGTGCCTCTTTGCTAAATTTGTTCCTGAATTTTTTTTTTTTTTTTTTTTCTGAGATGGAGTCTCACTCTTTCGCCCAGGATCCAGTGCAGTGGCGCGATCTCAGCTCACTGTAACCTCCGCCTCCCGGGTTCAAGTGATTCTCCTCCCTCAGCCTCCCAAGTAGCTGGTACTATAGGCGCCCACCCCCATGCCCAGCTACTTTTTGTATTTTTAGTAGAGACGGGGTTTCACCACCTTGGCCAGGCTTGTCAGAAACTCCTGACCTCCGGTGGTCCGCCCGCCTCAGCCTCCCAAATTGCTGGGATTACAGGCGTGAGCCACCGCGCTTGGCCCTGTTCCTGTAATTTTGTTCTGAGTGCTCATGTCCTTTGTCTCTTTGAATTTACGTATATTGATTTATTGAATTGCAAGTAGACAAGCCCCATTAAGCAGGATTTTTATATTTCCAAGATCATCCCATTACGCCATTCAACCCCAAATTAGCATGCCATTTATCCCCTTGTTTCTGAACCCTCTTCACTTAGTAGTCTCGGAAACATCCATTGCAAAACGGACTCAAACTTTGCTCACTTCCATTTTTATTTATCCAAGTAATGATTTGTCTGGGGGAGTCATTAGTAGAGAATTGTGCCCTTAAATGTATTTTTATAGTTGGATGCTGCTAGTTAATCTCTCTGTCATTCTCACATTGCAACCAACGACTGTGGGTTTCTGTCTTAACCTAAAATCTAGGTTAGAAATTTGGTTTTATCTGAATAGGATATTAATAGATAATGTGAAAAAAAATTTAATTTACTGAAACTTTTCTCAGCTAAGAATGACACTCATGGTCACAAATATGTATGCAAGCAAGCAGAAAATTGGGCTGTAAATATATAAACTCTTTTTTTGAAATGGAGCCTCACTGTGTCACCCAGGCTGGAGTGCAGTGGTGCGACCTCGGCTCACTGCAACCTCCGCCTCCCAGGTTCAAGCAATTCTCCTGCCTCAGCCTCCTGAGTAGCTGGGATTACAGGCATCCGCCACCACATCCGGAAAATTTTTTTGTATTTTTAGTAGAGATGGGGTTTCACCATGTTGGCCAGGCTGGTTTTAAACTCCTGACCTCAAGTTATCTGCCCGCCTCGGCCTCCCAGAGTGCTAGGATTACAGGCATGAGCCACCATGCCTGGCCTAAACTCTTAAAATATTATGTTTAGAGGCAAGATTTTCCTTTTTTTCTTCTTTTTTAGTAAAGTATATTTGCTATGGTTGGAATGATTGTGTCTCCTCCAAAATTCATGCTGGAATTTAAGACCCAATGTGATAGTATTAAGAGGTGGAGTGTTTAGGAGATGACTAAGTAGTGAGGGAGAAGCCCCCTCATGAATGGGATTAGTGACCTTATGAAAGGGCTTGAGGGAGCTACCCAGCTCAGTTTTGGTCTTTTGCTTTTCTGTCCTTTCCACCATGTTAGACACAGCCTTCCTCATCCCTGGAGGACTCAGCATTCAACGTGCCTTCTTCGAAGCAGAGAGCAGCCCTCACTAGACTACAAACCTGCTGGTACCTTGATCTTGGACTTCCCAGCCACCAGAACTGTGAGAAATACATTTTTGTTTTTATACATTACCCAGTTTCAGCTATTTTGTTACAGCAGCACAAATGGACTAAGACAGTATCTTACATACAGTGAGGTGCATATACCTTAAGTTACAACTCCATACTATTTACATATGTGCACACTCACGTGACCATCATTCAGTTCAAGATACAGAATGCTTGCATCACCACAGAGGACTCCCTCTTGCCCCTTCTCAGTTGCTATTCTTCTCAAAGTTAACCACGATACTGACCTCTGTCACCATGGAATAGTTTTGCCTGTTCTTGAACATCATATAAATGGAATCATACAGTATGTGCACATTTGTGGCTGGCTTCTTTCATTCAACATCATCCTATGAGATTTAGCCATGTTCTGGGTACTGGTAGTTGTTTATTTTTCTGCTTGTGTGGTTTCCCATATTTTATTTATTACCCTTCCTTTTTTTGTTTTTTTGTTTTTTGAGACAGAGTCTCGCTCTGTTACCCAGGCAGGAGTGCAGTGGCATGATCTCGGCTCACTGCAACCTCCACCTCCTGGGTTCAAGCAGTTCTCCTGCCTCGGCCTCCTGAATAGCTGGGATTACAGGCACGCACCAGCATGCCCAGCTAATTTTTGTGTTTTTAGTAGAGATGGGGTTTCACCATGCTGGCCAGGCTGGTCTCGAACTCCAGACCTCGTGATCTGCCCGCCTCGGCCTCCCAAAGTGCTGGGATTACAGGCATGAGCCACCGTACCTGGCTATTTATTACCCTTCCATTTTTATGTCTAACTCAGTGTCTTGTGGGGTCTATTGGTACTTTTTAGCTGGATTGATATTAAAAATCTTCTTATCGATGGAGCTTAGGAAATTTTTAGAAGATGAAAGCCTAATAAACCCAAGCCCCCCAATCTTAAGCCAACTTTCCTTCTCATGACTGCATCAGTTGCTCTTCTTTGTGTGGTATTTTTTTCCTTACAAAGCTGATGGAAAACCAAGGAACACAGAAGCTCTTCATCATGTTATCAGCTTACAGACACTTGTCATCTGAATAACAGGGTAGATATTTATAACCTGAAATGTTAAAATAACAATAGCACACACTTACATACCACTAACTGCTGTTCAAAGTGGCTTCACATATATTATTTTCCTCACAACACCTCTGTGAAATAGACACTATTATTGTCATCCCCACATTTTAAATGGGGAAATTCAGGCAGAGAGAGACCATGTAACTTTCCCAAGGTGGTAGAGCCAGGGCTTGAACCTGTGTTTTCTGGTTTTAGAAGCTACACACTTCACCACCATACCATATTGTGTAGCCTGATGCTTCCTGTAGTTACAGTATTTTCTTCTATTAGCTTGGGAGCATTTTCTGAATAATACAAATCTTATAAATTTCCTTGAAAGAATACGAGTAAATTGAAATGGAAGATCTAATATAGAATGTGTGGCATTCGTGAATAAGTTATAGGACTCTCTGGTTTTAAATAATAATTATTTGCTTATCTTGTGACTTTTGTCACACAGGGCTGTAATGCGCTAGCCTCATTTTCCTTCTCTTCAATAGGAGGAGATGGACTCAGAGACAGGCACAATTTATCCTAAAGTCTCATCACACTTTCCCTCACCATCTGGAAGCTGGAGACAGGTTCATGAAATCTGGATTGAGAACTAGTTGAATGCCACTTGTAGCATAGCAAGTCTAAGAAAGAAAGATGGTTTTACTTGCCAGTTCTGTTGCACAGGGTCCTGCAAGTTTTGGCAGTTAACATATGTGACCAACAGTTTTCTCACAAAGATTATCAGGGTTCTAGAGGAAATTATCTTCCAGTTTTATTCTGCTGCTAAAGTGCTATATTTCTTTTCTTTTCCTTTCTTTTTTTTTTTTTTTTTTTGACAGAATCTTGCTCTGTCGCCAGGCTGGAGTGCTGTGGAGCAACCTTGGCTCACTGCAACCTCCACCTCCCGGGTTCAAGTGATTCCCCTGCCTCAGCCTCCCGAGTAGCTGGGACTACAGGTGCGCCACCACACCCAGCTAATTTTTTGTATTTTAGTAGAGATGGGGTTTCACCATGTTGACCAGGATGGTCTTGATCTCCCGACCTCGTGATCTGCCTCCCTCGGCCTCCCAAAGTGCTGGGATTACAGACATGAGCCACCACACCCGGCCAGTGCTGTATTTCTTTATAAATGAACTAATTAATTATTGGTCACTTGTTTTTCATTAGGCATTTCTTTTCCTCTTTATGCTGTTTTATGTCTCTTTATGCCCAGCCCCAGGTTTTTCCTTCTAACACCAAGAAGATTATTGAAATTTTCTCTGTCAAACTCCCAGGCTCGAGTGATCCTCCCCCGTCTGCCTCCCGTGTAGCTGGCATTACAGGTGTGCACCATTGCGCCCTGCTGATTTTCTCTTTAACCTTCCCCCTGAGCATGTGTACACATACACACAAACATAAATATAGATACCCACACATCCACATGTATACACAAACACACACACAGAAACATACACATATCTACATGTACTTATTAGATATACATTTACAAACACAAACACACATGTGCACACACATATGTACACATCTTCCATCTTCTTCTCAAGACTCAGGGTTCTCAGAGAGTGGAAAGAGCATTATACCATGAGTCAAGAATCAACTGTGCAACTTTGCTCAAGTGTCTTTCCTTTCGACATATTGTTTATAATAATAAACATCCTTACCCACCAATTAGGGTTATTTTGAAGATAAAACAGAAAGGAAGGATAACAGAATGATGGTATGTTGTATAGCTAAAAAAAAATTAATCTTGACCCAAAAGAGTTCTGGCCTTTGTCCTCGACTCCTAGGAGGTAATCTCCAACATGTAATGCCTGACAGGAATATCTTTGCCTGTGGATCTCGGGTCTTGATGGATAGTCTAGTAGAAAGATTTAGGGTGGGGACCAGCCAGTCCAGGAAAACCAACTATGTGATTTAGAGTCCAGGCTTTATGTCACCCCTGGAATCATGGGAGACTCGAAACTAAGAGCAACCACGTGGACAATCAAGCATGCCTCTGTGATGAAGTTCCAGTAAAAACCCTGAACACTGAGGCTTGAGGGAGCCTCACTGGCTGGGAATACTCCATGTGTATTGGCACATAGCAAAGTCAGGAGGGTAATGCACTCTGACTGCATGGGGAAGGGATAATGGACACTCCATGTCTGGTGCCCTCCTGGACTCAGCCCTATACCTTTCTTCCCCTGGCTGATTTTAGTCTATATCCTTCCCCTGTAATCAAACCATAACTGTGAGTATAACAGTTTTCTGTGAGTTCTGGCCAGTTCTTAGAGGTAAGCAAACAGAGCTCATCTACTGCTTGTTGAAAAAACTATTTTAAAATCCCTAAACCAAAGAAGGCCAGAGTTCTCATGAATCTGACCCAACAGATTTTGAAGCCAAAGCTGAGGGCATTTGAAGCCAAAGCCAGGCTACACAGAGATGAGGCTCCTGGGAGGGAACAGGTGCAGTCCTGCTCAGGCTGCAGTGTCCCTGGGCTACAGCTGGACAAGGGCTCCCTCTGGGTCACAGCCTCTAGGGACAGAGTTTGGGGCAGGTTGACTGTCTGATTTGTAGGACTCTGGTGATGAGCTCAGCTGGGAAACTGTGTGGTAATGGGAAGAGAATGGTTTTGCTTTTCCAAATCATCCACCCTCTGCATGCTTTGATCCATACTGGAACTCAGTGTGGAAACAGTGCCTTTGAACAGCCTAAGCCTAAACTCTGGGCTGTGTGTCCAGTTTCCTGGCCTCCAGCTTAGTTCACTCCTTACCCCGCCCATCACTGATACCAGATCCATCCTCCCAAATATCCTTTCATCATGTTACCTCCCTACCACCTCATGGCACCTTCAACACAACAGGAAATGTCTCCAACCTCAGCCTGGTATTCAAGGTTCTTTCTGATGTGGCCCACCTCTCACCACTCCACCACATCTCCCTGTGGGCCCTGCCAAACTGGATCATTTTTTTTCTATCCATGAGCTGTGAACTTTCCCACCTCCAAATTGTTGCTTATACTGTGTCCTTCCTCTGAATGTTCTCTTCCTCCCTCTCCCCCAGTCCAAATGCTATAGACTGAATTGGGTCTCCCCAAAATTCATACATTGGAGCTCTGATCTGCTATGTGATTGTATTTGGAAATAGAGCTCTTAGGAGATAATTAAAGTTCGGTGAGGGAGGAGGAGCAGATCAAGATGGCTGAATAGCAGCCTCCACCAATGATTCTCCTTGCAGGAAAATCAAATTTAACAACTGTCCACAGCAAAAAAGCATCTTCATAAGAACCAAAAATCAGGTGAGGACTCAAAGTACCTGGCTTTAACTTCATATCGCTGAAAGAGGCACTGAGGAGGGTGGGAAAGACAGTCTTGAAACACTGATGTCACCCCTCCCCCATCCCTCAGCAGTGGCCGCTGTGGTGCTGAGAGAATCTGTGCACTTGGGAGAGGGAGAATGCAGCAACTGTGGGACTTTGCACTGAACTCAGTGCTGCCCTGTCACAGCAGAAAGCAAAACCAGGTGGAACTCTCATGACACCTGCCCATGGAGGGAGCATTTAGACCAGCCCTACCCAGAGGACTTCACCCATCCCAGTAGTTAGGAGGCTTGAGGCTTGGGTTTTGACAAGCCTTGGCATGGCAGGCTATCATGCTCTGGGGCCCTAAATAAACTTTCAAGCCAGTCTAGACCATAAGGACTTCAACTCCTAGGCAATTCCTAATGCCATGCTGGGCTCAGAGCCAGTGGACTCGGGGCACACAACCTAGAGAGACACCAGGCAAGGGAGCCAAGGGAGGGTTTGCACCACCCCTCCCCCAACCCCAGGCAGCACAGCTTGCAGCAACAAAAGTGACTTCTTCCTTTTGCTTGAGGAGAGGAGGGGGAAGAGTAAAGAGGACTTTATCTTACATCTTGGATACCAGCTCAGCCACAGTAGGATAGAGCACTAGTCAGAGTTGAGAGGCCTCCATTCCAGGACGTAGCTCCTGAATTACATTTCTAGATACACCCTGGGCCAGAAGGGAACCTGCTGCCTTGAAGGAAAGAACCCAGTCCTGGCAGGATTCATCATCTGCTGACTCTAGAGCCCTTTTGACCCAAATAACCTGCAGTGATACCCAGGTAGTATGCTATGGGCCTGGAGTAAGACTCTGAGGCATGCTGGCTTCGGGTGAGACCCAGCATATTCCCAGCTATGGTGGCTGTGGTGAGAGACTTCTTCTGCTTGAGAAAAGCAGAGAGAAATGCACAAGGGACTCTGTCTTGCAGCTTAGGTACCTGCCTGGCCACAATGTGGTAGAGCATCAAATGGGCTCTTGTGGTCACTGATTCTAGGCCTTGGCTCTTAGACAGCATTTCTGGACCTGCTCTGACCTCACCCTGAAGGGTGAGTCCCAGGCCTGGAAGCATTCACCACAAGCAACTGAAGAGCCCTTGGGCCCTAAGTGAACATAGCCAGTAGCTTGGCAGTACTCGCTGTGGGCCTGTGGGGGTGGCCACAGGGTGAGGCTCCTCTGCCTGTGGAAAGGGGAAGGAAGAATGGGAAGGACTTTTTCACATGGTTTCAGTGCCAGTTCAGCCACCATAGACTAAAGCACCAGGTAAATTTCTGAGGTTTTTGACTCCAGTCCCTGGCTCCCAGACAGCATCTCTGGACCCGCCAGGGCCTGAGGGAACTCATTGGCCTGAAGGGAAGGACACAAACATGGCTGGCTTTGCCACCTGCTGACTGTAGAGCCCTAGGCCTTGAGTGAACATAGGGGATAGCCAGGTAGTGTTTACAGCAGGCTTTGAGTGAGACCCAGTGCTTTGCTGGCTTTAGGTCTGATCCATTGCAGTCCCAGTGGTGGTGGCCATAGGGATGTTGTGTCAGCCCACCCCTAGCTCCAAGTGGCTCAGCAGAGAGAGAGAGACTGAGACTGTTTGTTTGGGAGAAATGACAGGTAGAGGATAAGAATCTCTGCCTGGTAGTCCAGAGAATTCTAGATCTTACCCAAGACCACCAAGGCAGTACCTCTATGAGTCTGCAAGAACCATAGCATTACTGGGTTTGGCGTGTCCCCTAATGCAGATACAGTTTAGATCACAAGACCCACATCCTTCAAATACCTGGAGAGCCTTCCCAAGGATGGGTACAAACAACCCCAGACTGAGAAGACTACAATAAATACATAAATCTTGAATGCTAAGGCACTGACAAACAACTGCAACCATCAAGACCATCCAGGAAAACATGACCTCACCAAACAAACTAGAGGGGCGAATCCTAGAGAAGCAGAGATAAGTGACCTCCAGACAGATAATTTAAAATAGCAGTTTTGGGGAAACTCAGAGAAATTAAAGATAACACAGAAAGGATTCAGAATTCTATAAGATAAATTTAACAATGAGATTGAAATAAAAAGAATCAAGCAGAAATTCTGGAGTTGAAAAATGCAATTGACATAATGAAGAATGCATCAGTCTCTTAATTGTGGAATTGATCAAGCAGAAGAAAAAATTAGTGAGCTTGAAGACAAGCTATTTGAAAATATACAGTTAGAGAAGACAAAAAAAATTTTTTTTTAATGAAGCATGCCCACGAAATCTAGAAAACAGCCTCAGAAGGGCAAAGCCAAGAGTTATTGGCCTTAAAGAGGAAACAGAGAAATAGAAAGTTTATTCAAAGGGATAATAACAGAGAACTTTCCAAACCTAGAGAAAGCTATAAATATTCAAGTACAAGAAGATTATAGAACACCAAGCAGATTTAACCCAAAGAAGACTACCTGAAGACATTTAATACTCAAACTCCCAAAGGTCAAGGATAAAGAAAGGATCCTAAAGCAGCAAGAGAAAAGAAACAAATAACATACAATGGGACTCCAATACGCCTGGCAGCAGACTTTCTGTGAAAACCTTACATGCCAGGAGAGAGCAGCATGACATATTTTAAGAGCTGAAGGAAAAAACTTTTACCCTAGAATAACATATCCAGTGAAAATGTCCTTTGAACATGAAGGAGAAATAGACTTTCCCAGACAAACAAAAGCTGAGGGATTTCATCAACACCAGACCTATCCTACAGGAAATGCTAAAGGGACATCTTCAATCAGAAACGAAAGGACATTAATGAGCAATAAGACATCATGTGAAGTTACAAAACTCACTGGTAATAGTAAGTACACAGAAAAACACAGAGTATTATAACACGGCAATTGTGCAAACAACTCTTAAGTAGAACGACTAAAAGATGAACCAAACAAAAATAGTAATAAGTACAACAACTTCTCAAGACATAGACAGTGCAATAAGATGTAAGTAGAAATAGCAAAAAGTTAAAAAGCAGGACAAATTAAAATAGAGTTTTTATTAGTTTTCTTTTTATTTGTTTCATTGTTTATTTGTTTGTTCCTTTGTGCAAGCAGTGCAAAGTTGTCATCAGTTTAAATAATGGGTTATAAGATGGTATTTCCAAGCCTCATGGTAATCTCAAATTTAAAAATATGCAATAAATACACAAAACACAAAAAGCAAGAAATTAAATCATACTACCAGAGAAAATCACCTTCACAATAAGGAAGACAGAAAGAAAAGAAGAAAGAGAAGACCACAGCAACCAGAAAACAAAATGGCAAGAATAAGTCAATACTAACATTGAATGTTAATGGACTAAACTCTCCAATCAAAACTGTTATGGAAAGAACTGTTATGGAGCAGTTCTCCCCATTCCCACCCACATCATTTTTCATCAACTCTAGATGAGCTAAGGGCCCCCAAATGCCTTAGGCTGAGCATTCCTTGGGGTGAGGTCCCTTCTTGCTCAGAGCCTAAAGACAAGTAGTGATATTGTTTCTGCCTGTCCAGTGTTTCCTAACAGGCCTTCAGTCTCCAGAGTGGAGAATCTGCCTTTGTGTGGGGTATTAGTAAGAAAATCTAGGAGCCACATCCAATCCTCTCTCACCCTGCTGCATCCAGGGAATGTGCATGTGACTTAGACTCAACCAACCAAATGCTCTTTCCTTGCATGGGAGAATTTGTGTGAGAAAGGCGGAGAAACAGAGATGGCTGTAGTACCACCAGAGGTCATGGGATAGGCAAGCTGAACTTTTTCTGCTCAGAGACTGTTATTGTGGTTTTTGGGGACTTCCTCTTTGTCTCTTGGCTCCTAACTGTTCTCAAGCCTGATTCGTCAGCTCCCTTCTACTCTGTCAGTTCCCTGACAGTCTTTCAGTAAGTCCCTTTTACTTAAGTTAGCCAGATTAGTTCTTAAGCTTTTAACCAAGAATGCTTTCTGGTGGAACAGAGCCTCTCTCACCCTTGTGGTTTGGCCAATGGAGAAAGGACTCTCTTGGGGGAGCAACCTTGAACTTGGCTGTGTTTCCAGGCTTGCTTCGATGTAGCAGGCTGGTCTTAGGGTACTGGCTTGGCTACCAGGGCCCTTCTCAGTAGGATCATTATGCCATGAATTGGTCTTAAATGTGACTTTCTCTCTGTCTCATGTAGGATAGTTGACACTGGCAAGGACCAGCTTCCCAGAATCAGACACAGAGGAGACAGCTTCTTTAGGACTCTCCAGTGACAAGCTAGTGCCAGTTCTGTGGTCAAGGGTTGACATGGGTTAGGAACAGAGGTAAATAAACGCTTGAGCTGCTGGAAAGTTCCATCTGTGCATCCCCAGCCTCCCCTGCATCTTTTCCTTTTTGTGTAAATTTCCATTCCTGGTAAGGATGGACACATGGAGAAACCCATCTTTTTTAATACAATGTCATCCCAAAAAAAATCACTTGGAGGGGTGGTGGCCCAGAATTCTGCATCCAGGGGCTTAGTGCAGACTTCTCAGGCTGGCCTGGAGGTGGTGCTATTTGCATGTGGTCAGTCTGGGATAATAAAGATGCTACCAGGGTATTGGATAAGAATCACTAGCTGAACTTCACTTTGCATCTCTGTAATTGGATTCAAGAGGTTAATTAGTGAAAAACAGGTGAATTTCACATAATCTTTGGAGTGGTGCAGAGGACTTTCTAACACAAAACTCACAGGCTATAAAAAGATAAGATTAACAAATTTGACTGCAAAAAAATTTCAAATTTCTATATTTAATAAACCAGCAGAAAACAAACAGCAAACTGAGAAAGAGTAGCAACTGCTGTGACAAAGGGATAATTTTCTTAATATACAAAGAGCTCTTACAAATAAATCCAATTTAAAAATGGGAAAAGGACCGGGCACGTGGCTCATGCCTGTAATCTCAGCACTTTGGGAGGCCAAGACGGCTGGATCACCTGAGGTCAGGAATTCAAGACCAGCCTGATCAACATGGTGAAATCTCTGTCTCTACTAAAAACACGCAAAATTAGCCAGGTGTGGTGGCGCACGCCGGTAATCCCAGCTACTTGGGAGGCTGAGGCAGGAGAATCACTTGATCCGAGATCGTGTCACTGCACTCCAGCCTGGGCGACAGAGGAGGAAAAAAAAAAGCAGTCATTTCATTGCAGGTGCCTCCAGTAATTGCTCAGTGCAAACATACATAACTATTCTATCACAGACCATTAAGGGTGTCTCTCTCCATTTTTAGATTTTCCGCTTGAGTTTCCAGGTAGTTTCTCACCTGTTTTCAAGCAGGGTTGGGGCAGCCGTTTCTTCAACAGCGCCAGCCGTAAAACACAAAGATGGAGGCCAACCTCCCACACCCGGGCACCCTCCCTTCCCCCATACTGAGATTGACAAGTAAGCAACCCGGTGATCAGTACTAAAATGGAGACGTCAGCCAGGTGCGGTGGCTCACACCTGTAATTCCAGCACTTTGGGAGGCTGAGGAGGAAGGATCGCTTGAGCCCAGGGGTTCGAGGTCAGCCTGGGCAACATATGGAAACCCTGTCTCTATGAAATGTAGATCCTGTCTGTGAGTGTGTGTGTATAAATAAATATATATATATATATACAAATACATACATATATATATTTAAAAAATAAAATGGGGACGTCCAACACGTGTACTAGGGGCGGTGTCTCTGCCTGGGGAGGTGGTGATGACAGGGCAGGCTCCACCCAGGAGAAGCTGGAAGAATGGGAGTTCCGCGGCAGAGGAGGCGGGGCAGGGCGTTCCTCCAAACACAGGAATACCACGTGCGAAAACAAAGGGGTGTGCGAAGACCGGGTGCATGTGTACAGCTGCAAACTGGGGGAAAGGCGCCAGGCTTGGGCGATGAGGATTTGTTCCCCCATGGATTCCCTTCCTGCCCAGGGTCCGCTCTCGCCGGTCGAGGGTGCCTAACAATACTCCTTGCCACAAGGTTCGCAGCCGAAAAGGTCCTTCAAGTCCGGCCATCCAACTTTCACTTTTTATAGACAAATATACAGAGGCCTTAGATAAGTGAAACGGCTTGTCTCGGGTTACAGCTCTAGCCAACACAGGGTTTCTGACGGTCAGTCTGCGGATTTTCCTGCCTCTGGTCCGCAGGCACTGCCCAGGCTGTCAGCCCCAAACCCTACTCCGGGGACCGCGGTCAGGTTCGTCTCCGGGCGGACTACATCTCCCACAATGCCTTGGGCCCAGCCTCCCTCCTGCCGCCCGGCTGGGTGCCGTCTCCACCAACAGAAAGGCAGAATTTCCAGGGCCGTTCTCGGCAGCCAATGAGCGCGGCGGTGGGCGGGCCTCTCCCGTCCATTGTTCTCGGTGCCCCACGGGCTTGAGCCGGGGTGAATCTGGAGGGGCCGGGCCGAGCCCGGGGGCGCTTTCGCACGCGAAGCAACCGCTAGAGCAGGACCTGGTCTCCCGAGAGGTGAGCCGGAGAGGCAGGCCTGGAGCCACGCGGACCCCGGGCAGTAGCCCGAGGTGAGGGAATAGTGGGCCTGGAGCCAGCTGCCGGCAGCTCTGCTGGGGGAGGGGCGTCGGGGTCGCGCTCCGTATCCTGCGGGCCCTGCAGCCCCGATTTACGCGCCGGCTCCGCTCAGCGAACCGTCCCGGACGCGTCTCCCTGGCGGAGAGCTCCTTGCCTCTCCTACCGAGAAGCGCAGGCTTTGGACGGGAAGGGGCATTCGACGACATCCCGCGCAGCGTACACGTTTTACAGATGGGGAAACTGAGGTTCAGAGGGGGCGTGTCGTGCCCCAAGTCAGACCGCAAATTAGCTGACCTGGCACACTTTTCCCAGGCTCCCAAGTAGGAAGAGTTCTCTTACACCATATGCCAGTATTTCTTCTAGTCATTTGAGTAAATACACGTTGAGAGCTTCGGTTTTCCCACTAGCTTTTATTTTTTGTCCTTTTTTTTTTAAGCTTTTGTCAGCTTTTCTCCCCTTTTCATTGAGGGAGGGTTGTTAGTTGAGTCTTTATGATGTAGTAATGATTTTTTAAAAAATTTTTTTATTTTTGTAGAGACTGGGTCTCACTCTGTTGCCCAGGTTGGTCATGAACTCCCGGCCTCAAGCCATCTTCCCTCCTCGGCCTCCCAAAGTGCTGGAATTACAGGCGTGAGCTACAGCGCTTGGGCTAAAAATAATTTTGTATTGCTTTTATAATATTTTAAGTCGTTTGCAATTCCACTGCTTTCAATATTTTGTAGGTGCCGTCCCGTTCTTTTTTCCTGTGAGTTCATTTTTTTTTTTTTTTTTTTTTGAGACGGAGTTTTGCTTTTGTTGCCCAGGCTGGAGTGCAATGGCCTGATCTCCGCTCACCGCATCCTCTGCCTCCCGGGTTCAAGCGATTCTCCTGCCTCAGCCTCCGGAGTAGCTGGGATTACGGGCATGCGCCACCACGCCTGGCTAATTTTGTTTTTAGTAGAGACGAGGTTTCTCCGTGTTGGTCAGGCTGGTCTCGATCTTCCGACCTCAGGTGATCCGCCCGCCTCAACCTGCCAAAGTGCTAGGATTACAGGTCTGAGCCACCGCGCCCGGCTGTGAGTTCATTTTTAAAGGGAATTGAGGACTTACTGTGTCTATGGTTTTTCTGCCCTGCTGATTTTGTGTTTATCCATTATTTTCCTATCAGAAGGATTATCTTAAATCATTAATGATTAATCTTTGTCAATATAATTTTTAAAATATTAAAAACATACAGCGTAATGTGCAGATCTTAAATTTCATATGTTTGCTCTTGTGCCGCCATTGCCAAATGAAGATATTGAAAATTTCCATCATCCCAGAAGGCTCCTTTGAGCCCCTTTCCTGTCATTACCACCTAAAGGTAGCCATTATTATAGCACAGTTTCTTTTCTTTTTTTTCCTTTTCTTTTCTTTTTTTTTTTTTTTTTTTGAGACAGAGTCTGGCTCTTTCGCCCAGACTGGAGTGCAGTGGCACGATCTCGGCTCACTGCAACCTCCTCCTCCCAGGTTCGGGCAATTCTCCTGCCTCAGCCTCCTGAGTAGCTGGGATTACAGGCGCCCGTCACCATGCCTGGCTAATTTTTGTATTTTTGGTAGAGACGGGGTTTCACTATATTGGCCAGGCTGGTCTCGAACTCCTGACCTCAAGTGATCCGCCTGCCGAGGCCTCCCAAAGTGCTGGGATTACAGGCAACCACGCCAAGCCTATAGCACAGTTTCTAATACATGCTGCTATATGGGTGTGTCATAGTTTATTAGCCATTCCCTGCTGCTGGATTTTTAAGGACTCGATTTTTTGGTTATTTTTTTAAGATAAAGTACTGAGGGGCCGAGGCTGGATTGGAGAGTATATGCATGTTTTAAACTTCATACTTAAAGTATGGTAATAATGCAGTTGAGATATTGCCTTTCTTCCAAAGAAGCTCAGAGTGCTTTGACATCTGATCCATTGCTGATCCTTAAGATGCCCCCATAAAAACAGAAACATGAGTGTTATTATCTTTATTAGGTGGTCACCGAGTTTGGTGACTAAGTTGTATGTTAGGTCAAGGTCACACAGTGCAAGTCGAAACTGACTTAGGAGAGTCCTCAGTATTTCAGTCATGGGTTTTTCCCGGGGACTTTGCATTTCTGATACTCATTCTTTGGTGTTTTGGAAGGAACAATGCTGTATTTTTTGTGCTTGGGATACTTTTTTTTTTTTTTTTTTGAGACGGAGTCTCACTCTGTTGCCTGGGCTGGAGTGCAGTGGCGAGATCTGTGCTCACTGCAACCTCCGCCTCCTGGGTTCAAGAGATTCTCCTGCCTCAGCCTCCCAAGTAGCAGGAACTACAGGCCCCCGCCACCACGCCCGGCTAATTTTTGTATTTTTAATAGAAATGGGGTTTCACCATACCTCAGGTGATCCGCCCACCTCGGCCTCCCAAAGTGCTGGGATTACAGGCATGAGACACTGCACCCAGCCTTCTTTTACCACAGAGAGATGTTTTCAGGAATAAGCCATTTTTTCTTTAAGAAGAACAGGAAACGTCTGTTGGTTTGCATATGTAAGGGCCACTTGGTGGTCTGACCTGGGCTTTTGTGAGTTAGATTGCTTTAGGACAGTCTACCTATGGATTATGGTTCTCTTTTTTGTTTCTCAGCGGGACTACTTGTTGATATTTGAGGAGGGAAGTGTCTTACCTGAGAGCCTGGCTGGAGAAGACTGAGGTCCAAGGCTTGAAGCCTAAGTGATTGCCCCAGGACTGTGGATGATGGCTGCAGACATCCCGAGAGTGACCACTCCGCTGAGCTCCTTGGTCCAGGTGCCTCAAGAGGAAGATAGACAGGAGGAGGAGGTCACCACCATGATCCTGGAGGATGACTCCTGGGTGCAAGAAGCTGTGCTGCAGGAGGATGGCCCTGAGTCTGAGCCCTTTCCCCAGAGTGCTGGCAAGGGCGGCCCCCAGGAGGAGGTGACCAGGGGACCACAGGGTGCACTCGGCCGCCTCCGAGAGCTCTGCCGGCGCTGGCTGAGACCAGAGGTACACACCAAGGAGCAGATGTTAACCATGCTGCCAAAGGAAATTCAGGCTTGGCTGCAAGAGCATCGGCCTGAAAGCAGTGAGGAGGCAGCGGCCCTGGTGGAAGACTTGACCCAGACCCTTCAGGACAGTGGTGAGACGCAGAACCTCATAGGGAGAGGGCGGGAGCACCCTTCCAAGGTAGAGGAGTGTGGTGTTTCGGAGGAGGAGAAGGTGGTGTCCAAGGCAGAGTGGGGGGCTAGCGCCATCCCTCTGCTCTGTCTGCAGGCAGTCAGCGTGTTCATCAGCCTTTTAGTGTCCTCACTGTGTGCAAAGTCAGCTCCAGAAGTGCTAGGAGGGCCTTAGAGCTACATTTGAATTGTAAGCACAGTTTTTACTTCTGTGTTTATTTGGAGTGGTTGGGAAGGTGATGGAAGTTAAACGGGAGGAGATGGAGACCCCTGGCACCTTCACGTGGTTGTGCAAGAAACATCCAAATGGTTCTTGCAATTAGAGAAAACAATCTGATATTTTCAACATGACTTTTTTTTCTTTTTTCTTTTTTTTTTTTTTTTTGAAACGGAGTCTCGCTCTGTCACCCAGGCTGGGGTGCAGTGGCACAATCTTGGCTCACTGCAACCTCCGTCTTCTGGGTTCAAGCAGTTCTCCTGCCTCAGCCTTTTGAGTAGCTGGAATTACAGGCGTGCGCCACCACGCCCGGCTAATTTTTTTATTTTTCGTAGAGATGGGGCTTCACCATGTTCGCCAGACTGGTCTCAAGCTCCTAACCTCGTGATCCGCCCACCTCAGCCCCCGAAAGTGCTGGGATTACAGGCGTGAGTCACCACGCCTGGCCCCAAAGTGGTTATTTTTATGAAACCAAGAGAAATGACAAGTAAACCAGCTAATAACTAGGGACTTTCTGTGGTATAAAGTAATCCTGGGCTCTTAAAATCGTAATTTCAAACTTGAGCTCTTTGCAATAGTTACTCTATTTTTTTCCGGTGTTACTAATAAGTATTGGGATTCTGGCTTGCCGTTTAACCGCTGTCTCCCTCCTGGTTTTCCATTGTAAAGTAGACTCACTTGATGACCAAATGTTTACTTCAGATGTGCCTTGAGGGCTGTCTCAGGGCTCGAAGGATATGGCTGCCTTTGTGCTGATGAAAACTACGGAAGTTCAGAGAAGGGAGCGTGGAGAGGAAAGGTCAGGTCAGAGAAGGCTTCCTGGAGGAGGTGACACCTAAGCAGGAGGTTGTAGAAGGGAGTAGGGTGTGGCAGCTGAGAGGAGCTGTGCTGAGCAGAGGCTTGGAAGGGCAGAGCCACGGTGGTTTATACCTTTGGGTGACAGGAGAGCTGGCAGATTGGAGTGGCAAGTGTGTTTTTAGGAAGTGGTAGGAAGTAGAGTTTGGGGGAAGGGTGGGTGAGGGCTTGGACTGAATGTTTTGCCTCAGTGGGTTCTTGAACTAGACCCCCAAGGGGCATGGAAGGAAGCGGAGTTTGGCAACAGGATGTAGGTTTGATTAGGGTAGTGAGAGGCTAGGGGCAGGAGAGCAGCCAGGAAGCTCCCTTGTCTTCAGGTGTGCAGTGATGGGGGTCTGCCCCAGATGGGGCACGTGTGAGAAAGAACTGATAGTCACCATGGCTAGCACTTTCCAAGCTCTTTCTGCAAGCCAGGAAATATGCTTAGCATCTAATATGGAAAACTCATGTAATCTTCACCACCCTGGAAGATAAGCAGGATTATCATCACCAGAGATCCCTTAAGATCATGTGCCTTTGTACCAGGCAGAACCAAGATTTGAACTTATGTGTGTGAGGACATAGCCCATGTTTTTAAGCGTTGTCATATGTATGATTCTAAGAGACACTTCCTAGTGGGTGTTGGAAGTTGGGGATGCAGATGGAATTAAGACAGTGACTACAGAGCATCTGGCCTGGAGGATTCAGAGGACTGGGAAGAGAAGAGAAGGAAACTGAAGGGGATTTGGGGCAGAGACTATCACAAACTCCAGGGACTGGGTGAATGAGTAGAGCTGTCCTCTGGAGAAAGGGACTGACGCCGAAGGTCTGCAGTGACCCAGCCCTGCCCTGGGCACCTTCATGCTTGTCTCACTAAGAATCCTGTGAGTGGCTGGCATTGTCATTTCACAGATAGGAAATATAAGTGCAGGAAACTCACATGGCTGTTGAGTGGTGGAGCCAGGATTCAAACCCAGACCTGTCTCTTTCTGCATGGAGATCTCAGTTTTGCTTGAAGCAAAGTGCTTGATTTTCTTTGGCCCTGAAAAAATAACTGCATTTTATTCCTTCTATTAAAATAAGCAAACCTGTCTCCCTATTTTACAGCTGTAGCTGTCGTTGCTTCCCTTCCGGTGGAGGTGACCAGTTTGTAATGAACTTCTGGATCTCCAGTCAGATACTATGGAGGAGAGAGTGATGGAGGGCTGAGGAGAGGCCTCAGGTTGTTATTTGGTTGGGGAGGCACAGAGCAGAGGTTCAGGTCTCAGCAGGTGTCAGAGGTGATTACAGCCCTTCCCATCCACCTTGCAGCAGGGGCTTTGTGCCTTTCATCTTTAACTGGGCACCTGAGATGGGAACCAATGGGGACCATCCCAGACACATGGGTTTGTCTGTCCCTGACTTCTGCCTCTGAGATTGTCTTTGTTGGTCTTTGTTTAATAAACGCCCCGACCTTCCTCATGATTGCTCACAGGAGTCCCTGCGTTTGTCTTCATCCCTTCTCAAACATTTACTCGACATAAGGCCGCGTGACCTCTATTCTGTTTGTCCAGCTTATGACCTTTGGACACATTCACCCAGCACAGGATATTTCCAGGCCTGGTTAGTCAGTGGCGGTTTAATGTTTTTCTGACAGGAACCTCTGGGCACTCAAAATTCAAGTACCTTCTAATTCTAATGAAGATCGGACCTATATTAATAGATTAAGTGGCAGAGCTTATGTCTCTCTGTGACTGTTTCCAGAGGACATTTTACTCTCCATACCCAGCCCTAATCCAGATGCGTGGAGTTTCTCACCTGAATTCTTGGAGCAGCTGCCAAACTGAACCTGTCTTCAGCTTCTGCCCCTTCATCCCAGCTCTTCCACTTCTACCAGAGTGATGGGGCACTCCTGCTTAAAAACCTTCATGAGCTTCCCAGTATCTACCAAATCAAGCATGACCTCCTTGTTCTGCTTGGAATCCGTGGCTCTGTGGGACCTGGCCCAAACCTCCCCTGCAGTCTTTTCCCACCCCTGACCCCCCATGCTCTATCCCCACTCCATTCAGACCAGATCTTGCTCTTTCTTGAACACAGCCTGTGCTTTTGTTTTTGTTTTTGTTTTTTTGAGACGGTCTTTCTACGTTCCCCAGGCTGGAGTGCAGTGGTGCCATCTGGGCTCACTGCAACCTCCACCTCCTGGGTTCAAGTGATTCTCCTGCCTCAGCCTCCCAAGTAGCTGGGATTACAGGTGCGTGCTACCGTGCCCAGCTAATTTTTGTATTTTTAGTAGAGACAGAGTTTCACCACGTTGGTCAGACTGGTCTCGAACTCCTGACCTCAGGTGATCCACCCACCTTGGCTTCCCAAAGTGCTGGGATTACAGGCGTGAGCCACCACGCCTGGCCCTTGCTCCTGGATTTTTGGCTTGGAATAGCCTTGTCCCATCTCTGTGATAAAATCCCAGTTGTTCTTTGAGTGCCCACCCGTGGAGACCCTCTTCATAAAGCTGCTCTTAAACCCTGTCCCTTTTCCCCATCCCCAGTTCCACACACCTGGGAGCACCTCTAATCACCTCTGCTAGAAGTCGTCTCCCCCAGAACATTTGGATTCTCTCTCTTGGCTTTTTATCATAGTTCACCTTCTTTTCTGTTTATATGAATACTTGTCTTATTTCTTCTAGGAACCTGTAAAATCCTAGAAGACAAGGAACCTGTCTTTTTCCTTTCTCTTTCATTCCCCCTCTTCCCTCTCTTCCACCCTACTCCCTCTTCCTTTCCCTCTCCCTTCAGTATCATGAACCTCGGAGCCCCACCCTAGAACTCCTGAATCAGACACTTTGAGGGTGGCTGGGCGCAATGGCTCACGGCTGTAATCCCAGCACTTGGTGAGGCCGAGGCGGGTGGATCACTCGAGGCCAGGAGTTCGAGACCAGCCTGGCCAACATAGTGAAACCCTGTCTCTGCTAAAAATACAAAAAAAATCAGCCAGGCATGGTGGCATGTGCCTGTAATCCCAGCTACTTGGGAGGCTGAGGCAGGAGAATCGCTTGAACCTGGGAGGCGGAGGTTGTAGTGAGCTGAGATTGCGCCATTGCACTCCAGCCTGGGTGACAGCAAGACTCTGTCTCAAAAAAAAAAAAAAAAAAAAGAAACTGAGGGCGATGCCCAGCATTCTAAGTGATCCTGATTCAAACTCCAATTTGAGAACCTCTGCACTAGACCTCTGTAGACCTCTGGTTCTCAAACTCAGCCGCACATTAGAATTACCTGGGGGCCTGGAGCCTACTCCAGGGATTCTAATTTTCTGATTTAATTGGTATGGGGTATGGCCTGGGCAAGGGAGTTTTGAAAGTGCCCAGGTAGTTCTATTATGCTGCAAAGTGTAAAGAGCACTGCCATAGAGCTTTGTTCTTCAGGGGGTGGTCAGTGGGCCAGCAGCATCAGCTCACCTGGGAGTTTGTTAGACTAGGACTGTCAGTCTCACCAAGCCCCGCTGAAGCAAATTTGCATTTGACAAGATCTCCAGGTGATTCCTATGCTCTTTGAAGTTTGAAAAGCACTACCCAGGAGAGGAATAGAGGTTATCAACTTCAAGCCTACTCTTGTCCAACAGTTGAGTGAAAGAGTCACAGCTGACCTCTCCAGCCATCCTCAGCATCATCTGGCTTTCAGCCATCAGAGGCAACAGGTGATTTGTTTTGAGCTTGCTGCCCCAGCAAAATGCTCCCTTAATGACCACAAATGAACACATACATTCATTTGTCTCAGCCAGAAAGGGAGTGGAGAGTGTTACAGCTTATGTCTTTTTAAAGCTACAATTCTTAGCTTCAAAACAAAATTACTTTTATATATATATATACACATATATATCTATGATATATATCATATATGATATATGAGATATATGATATATCTCATATGATATATATATGAGAGAGAGACAAAGTCTCACTCTGTCAACCCAGGCTGGAGTGCACTGGTGTGATCATAGCTCACTATAACCTCGAACTCTTGGCCTCAAGTGGTCCTCCTGTTTCAGCCACCCAAAGCACTGCGATAACAGGAATGAGCCACTGTGCCCAGCCCAAAAATTACCTTTAATTTACTCAAATGTTTGAAAAGTATACCGGACAGAATTCTTAGGGAGCGGTAACGTTATACCTATGAAATGTTTAGCATTCATGTATTTCACCTGATAACAGTCCATTGCTGTTTTTATCAGCAGTTAGTCTTTCAAGCAGCCAGAGTTCAGGGGGAACAATGCTCCCAGTCCCACTGGGCTTGCCAGGGCAGCGCTCTAATGGGGAGAGCCCTAGTGAGAATGGAGCTGGGCATACCCTATATCAGAACCACTTCTCTATTTTAGACCAGTGGCTGAGACACAGGGGTAGGACACAATCAGGCAGGAAGGGGCTGGAGAAGAATTTTGAGCCAAACACACACCAAAGCACCAAAGACTGTGACCAGTTTATTTCATTGTTACAGCAAAGTCAGGTCTATCCCCTATTGACATGAGTCTTCCCCATGTTCATTCTGGTATGCTCTATGGTGCGGGAGAGAAAGAGGAGGCCTGTGGCCAGGCGAGGACACGCAGGGCCCTGTGAACGGCCACGGGAATTTGTGCTGTGCACGTGAGGCCAGAGCTCACGTGGCAAGTGCGAGAAATACAAGGACCGTTGGCTGAGATTGAGCTACGGTGGCAGCTTTTGTCCACTGACAGATAAGGGGAGAGGTCCTGTGGCCCTTCAGGGACTGTTCCAGTGAATGATTTTTGGACAGTGGTCAAATCATTTTGAAAAAACTAAAATTGGATACCTACTTTGCAGCTTACAAAGAAATAGATCCCTGCTTTACAAGTTACACAAAAATAGGTCCCAGATGGATTACAGATCTGTAATAGACAGGATCTGAAATGACATGTGAGAGAATATTTTTGTAATCTTAGCATGCGGGAAGGACTTTCATGTTTGTTTGACAGGAACCTCTAGGCACTCACAATTCAAGTATGAAGTGTGAATAAGCAATACAGAAGTCATCAAAGCTAGATTGGACTCAAAACAGAAGTCTTTCTTTCTTTCTTTCTTTCTTTTTTTTTTTTTTTTTTGAGATGGAGTCTCACCCTGTCGCCCAGGCTGGAGTGCAGTGGCGCCATCTCGGCACTGCAACCTCCACCTCCAGGGTTCAAGTGATTCTCCTGCCTCAGCCTCCCGAGTAGGTGGGACTACAGGCACCCACCACCACTCCCGGCTAATTTTTGTATTTTTAGAAGAGATGGGGTTTCACCATGTTGGTCAGGCTGGTCTCAATCTCCTGAACTCAGGCAATTCGCCCGCCTCTGCCTCCCAAGGTGCAGGGATTACAGGCGTGAGCCACTGCACCCAGCCAAAACAGAAGTGTTTCATATAAAAAACGATACTGTGAATCAAAAGACAGCATACACATTAGGAGGAAATATTTGCATCCAAGTCTAATGTAGCAGATCATGAGTCAAAATCCTTGATCTACAAGAGCCTCTGCAAATTCATAAGAAAAGTCAACCAAATAGAATAAAAGGTAAAAGATATAAACAATTTAGAAATGAAGAACTAAAAATTATGAAAATATGTTCTGGCCAGGTGTGGTGGCTCACGCCTGTTATCCCAGCACTTTGGGAGGCCAAGGTGGGTGGATCACGAGGTCAGGAGTTCAAGACCAGCCTGGCCAACATGGTGAAACCCCATCTCTACGAAAAATACAAAAAAAATTAGCCGGGCATGTGGTGGTGTGCACCTGTAATCCCAGCTACTGGGGAGGCTAAGTTAGGAGAATTGCTTGAACCCAGGAGACAGAGATCACGCCACTGCACTCCAGCCTGGGTGACAGAGCAAGACTCCGTCTCCAAAAAAAAAATTTTTTTCTTTTTAATTAGCCAGGCATGGTGGCACACACCTATAGTCCCAACTACTTGGGGGCTGAGGTGGGAGGATCACTTGAGCCTGGGAGGTCAAGACTTAAGTGAGCCAAGATCCCACCACTGCACTCCAGCCTGGGAGACAGTGATATACTGTCTCAAAAAACAACAACAGGCCAGTCGTGGTGGCTCACACTGTCATCCCAGCACTTTGGGAGGCTGAGGTGGGTGGATCACCTGAGGTCAGGAGTTTGAGACCAACCTGGCCAACGTGGTGAAACCTCATCTCTACTAAAAATAAAAAAATTAGCTGGGAGTGATGGCAGGCGCCTGTAATCCCAGCTACTCAGGAGGCTGAGGCAGGAGATTCGCTTGAACCTGGGAGGCAGAGGTTGCCAAGATCGCGCCACTGCACTCCAGCCTAGGCGACAGAGCGAGACTGTCTCAAAAAACACAAAACAAAACAGAAAAGCAAGAACAACAAAAAAGTGGATGTCTGGGCCATCCAGCCTCTTACTCATAAGCCTGCTTCCTTAGAAGCCGCCTCCCTACATCTACTCATATCCACAGAATGTGCTCCTCTTGGCATCCTGGAGTAGCCAAAGCCATTGCTATCAGTAAAAAAATTTTTTTTTAATTCCCAGCTGCCACCATCTCCTCTCATCTCCATTCACAACGTGGTAAGAATATTATTTTTGTATCTGACCAAAACCAGTTTCTGAGTTTTCATTTTCTTAATTGGCCACCAATAAATAAAGGAGGGACTCACCTGCCCTTGAACGTGCTCTGCTGTGTGCTCTGGATCTCATAGGGGCCAGCCTTTCTCAGGGAGCCTGGAGGGGGCCAGGGATCCCTTATTCTTCCCAGCTCAGTGACTTTTTCCCATTTTGGAGGCCCTTGTCAGTCAGATCACCTGAAGGGCCACTCTTTTCTGTCCTGTAGAATGACTCCTGTGTCTCTCTGGTCTTAGAGGGCAACTTGTGAAGAACTGCCAACCTTCCTTTGGTCTTCGCTGGATAGCAGCGGTGTTTGTAAAGATAGGACTGGTCTTTGAGCAGTACAGTGAAGGGGTTATTGGGCCTGGATTCTACTCAGAGGGACCTCCTTAGTGAGGTTTATGATATTTATGTTATACAGCAATGTAGAAATGACCTTCTAAAGGCCAGGAGCGGTAGCTCATGCCTGTAATCCGAGCACTTTGGGAGGCCGAGGCAGGTGGATCACGAGGTCAGGAGATCGAGACTATCCTGGCTAACACGGTGAAACCCTGTCTCTACTAAAAATACAAAAAAATTAGCCGGACGTGGTGTCCGGCGCCTGTAGTCCCAGCTACTCGGGAGGCTGAGGCAGGAGAATGGCGTGAACCCGGTAGGCGGAGCTTGCAGTGAGCCGAGATCATGCCACTGTACTCCGGCCTGGAAGACAGAGTGAGACTGCGTCTCAAAAGAAAAAAAAAAGGGGGAAATGACATTGTAACCAAAATTGGGGTTGGGAGGAATAAGGTGGTTTTATAGGATATGTTCTTTGATTGTCTTGTATGTAATACCTGGGAGTTCAAAGACTTGACATTTAAAAGAAGATAGCCCCATAAATTAAGTATCGCACTTAAAGGCTGCCAGATTTTAAAGAAATTCTTTCATATGTTCATCTAATAGTTTGATGCTGCTATTTGGGTTTTTTGTTTTAACATTTAAATCTTAGATCCATTTGGGATTTGTCCGTTTCTGGGTCCAGCTTGAATTTTTCCATTTGAATTGAATTTTTCCAGTTTTCCGTAACTAGTTCTTCCAGCATCATTTATTGTATGTTGTGTCTCTTCTCCATGGATTTAAGAGGCCAACCGTATTGTATGCTAAATTTTCATAGTCATTATACAGATTATCTTTTCTCTTCTCTTGGCCTGTCTATTTCTGTTCCACTTGTATTAAATTCTGAACTTACATATCTATTGAATCTATTTCTGGAGTTTTTATTTTGTTTATTTGGTCTGATTGTCTATTAATGTTTTAATTATTGAGATTTCATAATGTTTTTGTTTTTGTTTTTGAGACGGAGTCTCGCTCTGTTGCCCAGGCTGGAATGCAGTGGCACAATCTCGGTACACTGCAACCTCTGCCTCCTGGGTTCAAGCAATTCTCCTGCCTCAGCCTCCCAAGTAGGTGGGATTACAGGCGCCCGCCACCACACCCAGCTAATTTTTGTATGGGGTTTCACCATGTTGGCCAGGGTAGTCTAGAACTCCTGACCTCAGGTGATTCACTCGCCTCGGCCTCCCAAAGTTTTGGGATTACAGGCGTGAGCCACTGCACCCGGCCGAGATTTCATAATGTTTTAACATCTGACAGAGATAGTCCCTCTCCCCTCCAATTTTAGTCAGTAATCTTTCTTTTTTTTTTTTTTGAGATAGAATCTCAGTCTGTCACCCAGGCTGGAGTGCAGTGGCACGATCTCTGCTCACTGCAACCTCCACCTCCTGGGTTCAACGATTCAACGATTCTCCTGCCTTAGCCTCCCAACTAGCTGGGATTACAGGCATGTACCACCATGCCCAGCTCATTTTTGTATTTTTAGTAGAGATGGGGTTTCACCATGTTGGCCAGGCTGGTCTTGAACTCCTGAGCTTGCGATCCGCCCACCTCTGCCTCCCAAAGTGCTGAGATTACAGGTGTGAGCCACTGCTCTTGGCCTCTTTTTTTTTTTTTTTTTTTTTTTTTCAGAGACAGAGTCTCACTCTGTCACCCAGGCTGGAATGCAGTAGCATGATCATAGTTTACTATAATCTCAAACTCCTGGCCTCAAGCAATCCTCCCACCTCAGGTTCCTGAGTAGCTGGGACTACAGGCAAGTGCCAACACACCCGGCTAATTCTGTTTTTTTTTGTAGAGATGAGGTCTTGGCTGTGTTGCTCAGGCTGGTCTTGAACTCCTGGCCTCATGCAGTCCTCTCACCTCAGCCATCCAAAGTGCTGGGATTGCAAGCAATAATCTTATCTTTTTTAGTGTTTATTTTTGCAAACCTCTACTTAGCTGCATGCTTTACCAGTTTTAAATGTGAATTCTTTGAACTCCCAGGTTATTACAGATGAGGCAATCAACGAACATATCCTATAAACCACCTTATTTCTCCCAACCCCAGTTTTGGTTAGAATGTCATTTCTACACTGCCGCATAACATTCACAAGCTCTTTAATCACCCCAGTTGCCATGGTAGTTTTAGTCTTCATTCTAAAGTTAAATTTATTAGGTGTTCACCCCTCTAGCAGTCCATTAATTTGTGTATGTTCAAAGCTGTTTGCCTATAGGTTTATACTTGAAGGACAGTTTTGTCGAATATAGAGAAATCTTTTTTTTTTCCTGAGATAGAGTCGCCCAGGCTGGAGTGCAGTGGCGCGATCTCAGCTCACCACGACCTCCACCTCCTGGGTTCAAGCAGTTCTCCTGCCTCAGCCTCCGGAGTAGTTGGGATTACAGTCACGTGCCACCACACCCAGCCTGAATATAGAGAAATCTGAAACCAGTTGATTTTCTTTCCCCTTGTAAGTGATTTGATCCTTTTGCTGTTGTCCACTGGTCTTACTGTTAGCCACCCTGGGTTAGTTTTTGTTGGCCCATGGTGTAACTTTCACATGTTCTTATATCCTTACAGGTTTTATCTTTAAGTATTAGTTCTTTTTTTTTTTGAGACGGAGTCTCACTGTGTCGCCCAGGCTGGAGTGCAGTGGTGTGATCTCAGCTCACTGTAACCTCCGCCTCCCGGGTTCAAGCGATTCTCCTGCCTCAGCCTCCTGGGTAGCTGGGACTACAGGCATCTGTCACCACACCCAGCCAATTTTTGTATTTTTTTAGTAGAGACGGGGTTTCACCATATTGGCCAGGCTGATCGTGAACTGCTGACCTTGTGATCCGCCTGCCTCAGCCCCCCAAAGTCCTGGGATTACAGGCGTGAGCCACCACGCCTGGCCTTTAAGTACTAGTTCTATTGCTTTGTTTTTTTGAGAACTCCAGTTATGTTTACTGATTCTCCTTTTGCCTAACTTCTGTTTCTATCTTTTTGTTTAAGATAGGGTCTCACTCTGTCACCCGGGCTGGAGTCCAGTGGTGCAAATATGGCTCACTGCAGCCTCTGCCTCCTGGCCTCAAGCAATCGTCCTGCCTTGGCCTCTTAAGTAGCTGGGTCTACAAGTGTGTACAGCCACACCTGGCTAATTTTTGTATTTTTTGTAGAGATGGGGTGTTGCCATGTTTCCTAAGTTGTCCCAAACTGCTGGGCTCAAGCAATCCACCTGTCTTGGCCTCCCAAAGTGCTGGGATTACAGACCTGAGCCAACGCGCCTGGCCCTCTGTCATTCTTTTTAATCCTTTTAACCTATTCCTTTGTTTCCATTTCCTGTCATTGCTTTCTTATTTTGGTCCTCTTTTTCCCATTCTTGGAATGGTGCTTTCCAAGATGCCTATTCCCATTGCGCTCCTTTTCCTGTTGTCTTCATTTCTCTGGCTGATTTTCCCTCCTTTCCTGAGTTCTTCTAGTGTACATTTAATCTCTTCCTGTTGTCTCACCATCCCTTCTTCAAGCTCTTCTCTGTGGTATTCCTTTATAAAGGCAGTTGCCTCATTTAATTATTTTTATGGATGGAAATGATCACTTTTCTCAGTAATAGTAATTCCTTGGGCCGGGCTCCAGCCTATAATCCCAACACTTTGGGAGGCCGAGGCAGTTGGATCATTTGAGGTCAGGAGTTCGAGACCAGCCTGGCCAACATGGCGACACCCCATCTCTATTAAAAATACAAAAACAATGAGCCGGGGGTGGTGGTGTGCACCTGTAATTCCAGCTTGTCAGGAGGCTGAGGCAGGAGAATCGCTTGAACCTGGGACGCAGAGGTTGCAGTGAGCCAAGATAGTGCCACTGCACTCCAGCCTGGGTGACAGAGTGAGACTTCATCTCAAAAAAATAAATAAATAAATACCTTGGATTAATGTGCGTGGGTCAAAGGCTCTTTCCTTCTCTGCTTTCCAGAAACAGCTTCCTGCGTACATGGCTGCCCTGTGTGATTCCAGTTGCAGCCTCACCTCCTTTGCCTCTCTGAACCAAAGAAGCCAGCCCTGCTTACCCCAGTTCCCAAACACAGGAAGTGATTTTCTGCCTGAGCTTTCTGAGTTCTGTTCCCTCCCACCCCAGGGCTCTCCATGCTTATTCATTGCATTTCCTTCCTCATTGCTTTTACCCAGTCTGCTGTTTTGGGAAGCCCTGACATGTATTTTGGTGCCTACATATTTTATCTTCTGATCTCACTGAAAATAAAATTGGATTTTACTTGTTTTCCTTGTTGCTTCCGAGCTCATTGGAGAGCTAACCAGTTCTGATTTTAAAACAGCAAAAACAGCCTTATTAGCTAATGTTACCTATTCAATTACTAAAATCACCCAAAAAAATGTTTTTGGTCATGTTAGTTTGCTAAAAATTAATCAGGGTCTTGGCCTGCAGGTTCTTCTAGAAGAGAGATGCTGGCAGGGCTCTGTGCTCAAAACTTGCCAAAAAACTGTCTTCCGGCCAGACATGGCAGCTCACGCCTATAATCCCAGCACTCTAGGAGGCGGAAGTGGGCAAATCACCTGAGGTTGGAAGTTCGAGACCTGCCTGACCAACATGGAGAAACCCTGTCTCTACTAAAAATACAAAATTAGCCAGCCATGGTGGCACATGCCTGTAATCCCAGTTAATTGGGAGGCTGAAGCAGGAGAATTGCTTGAACCCGGGGAACAGAGGTTGCGGGGAGCCAGGATCGCGCCACTGCACTCCAGCCTGGGCAACAAGAGCGAAACTCTGTCTCAAAAAAGAAAAAAAAAAAAACTGTCTTCCATGGCCAGGCGCAGTGGCTCACGCCTCTAATCCCAGCACTTTGGGAGGCCAAGGCGGGCGGCTCACTTGAGGTCAGGAGTTTGAGACCAGCCTGGCCAACGTGGTGAAACCCTATCTCTACTAAAAATACAAAAATTAGCCAGGCGTGTTGGCGTGCGCCTGTAGTACCAGCTACTCAGGAGGCTGAGGCAGGAGAATTGCTTGAACCTGGGAGGCGGAGCTTGCCCTGAGCCAGGATCGCGCCACTGCACTCCAGCCTGGGTGACAGAGTGAGACTCCAAAAAAAAAAAGACTGTCTTGCAGGAAGTTGAGGAAACACAGAATTCCTGGTTCTGCCGAGTCAGAGTATACCTTGTGCCCCTTGTGCCTGTATCTGTCCCCTAGTGATATGAGGGGTGGGGCTGGAGGGCAATTCTGTGAACCCACAGATTACCAGCAGCATGTGTCAGTGTAAGCATGGAGTTTAATTATATGCCTGTTTTCAACTTTAAAGGTGATCTTATGGCCAGGCATGGTGGCTTATGCCTATCATCCCAGCACTTTGGGAGGCCAAGGCAGGAGGATCACTCAAGCCCAGGACTTTGAGACTAGCCTGGGCAACATAGCAAAACCCCATCTCTACAAAAATACAAAAAAATTAGCTGGGTGTGGTGGCATACACCTGTGTAATCCCAGCTACCTGCAAGGCTAAGGTGGGAGCGTCACCTGAGCCCAGGAAGTTGAGGCTACAGTGAGCTGCGATCTCGCTACTGTACTACCGCCTCGGTGACAGACTAAGACCTTGTCTCAAAAAAATAAAAAATAAAAATAAATGTGATCTTAAATTGACTGAAGGCAAGAGTGGAGCCCAGGTCCTGCCTGAGAGGGGCATGTCCAATTTTATCATGTTCATATGTAAGAGTTTATATTAACTTACAGAAAATTAATTGAGCATCTAACCTTAAATAAAGTTTTTTAGCTTTAATAATAGAAATGTCACTAGGAGTTCGAGCGCGATAGCTCACACCTGTAATCCCAGCACTATAAGAGGCCCAGGCGGGCGGATCACCTGAGGTCAGGAGTTTGAGACCAGCCTGGCCAACATAGTGAAACCCCATCTCTACTAAAAATACAAAAATTAGCTGGGCGTGGTGGTGTGCGCCTGTAGTCCCAGCTACTCTGGAGGCTGAGGCAGGAGAATCTCTTGAACTCGGGAGGCTGAGGTTGCAGTGAGCCTAGATCTCGCCACTGCAGTCCAGGCTGGGTGACCAAGTGAGACTCTGTCTTAAAAAATAGAAAAAAGTGCAGCTTTTTTTAGGATTGAGGTCAAGAGGGAAATTTCCTCCTCAGGCTCATCAAGAGGACATTGTGTGGTATAAACAATGTCATCAACAACTTCCTGGCAGCATTAATGTTCCCAACAGCCATTAATTTTTTTTTTTTTTTTCGAGACAGAGTCTTGGCTCTGTTGCCCAGGCCGGAGTGCAGTGGCGTGATCTTGGCTCACCAAAGCGTCCACCTCCTGGGTTCTAGTGATTCTCCTGCCTCAGCCTCCCAAGTAGCTGGGATTACAGGTGCCTACCACCATGCCCAGCTAATTTTTTTGTATTTTTATTAGAGACGGGGTTTCACCATGTTGGTCAGGCTGGTCTCAAACTCCTGATCTCAGATAATCTACCCACCTTGGCCTCCCAAAGTGCTAGGATTACAGGCGTGAGCCACCATGCCCGGTGTCAGTCATTAATTTCTAATGACACTTCTTAGAGTGTCAGCCAGGGCTATGAAGCCAACACACTATTCAGTAAACACAGTTCTGCCGGGGGTCAGAACAGTGTGATCCAGGCTCAGCTCTCTGCTGCTTTGGCCTCATCCTCGGGTAGATTTTACAGTCCCTCATCTAAGGAAGGGGCTATGTTCTTCTAGCAGTCCTCCCTAATGATTTCTTTTACTCAAATATTTGGGCACTGGAAGGTTTAACAAGTTCCTGGAAGACATATTACCAATTAAAGATCTATTCATGGCTGGGCGCGGTGGCTCACGCCTGTAATCCCAGCACTTTGGGAGGCCGAGGCGGGCGGATCACAAGGTCAGGAGATCGAGACCATCCTGGCTAACATGGTGAAACCCCGTCTCTCTAAAAATACAAAAAATTAGCCGGGTGTGGTGGTGGGCGCCTGTAGTCCCAGCTACTCGGGAGGCTGAGGCAAGAGAATGGCGTGAACTGGGGAGGCGGAGCTTGCAGTGAGCCGAGATCGCGCCATTGCACTCCAGCCTGGGCCACACAGCGAGACTCCGTCTCAAAAAAAAAAAAAAAATCTATTCATAAGCTCCCACTGCAGACAAATTTGAGGGCTCTTTTAACAATCCAGTTAACTTGCTTCTAGTCATTGGTATACACACCTAGGGTCCTTATTGCACGGGCTCTGTCATCTTTCCTGTGTCTAAATACAAAGTAATGCGGTCATAAACACCAGATACATGTCAATACAAGAAATTATTATATAAGCTCCTTTTGAAAGGAGACTGAGCTTTAGGGAAATGTCTATGGTACCAATAAAAAAACTCATTCATGCACTCATTACATTGAATCAAGCACCAGGCATTATGGTGAGTGTGGGGGTAATTGGGTAGGTACCCTGTTTATGTCCTTTAAAATTCCCACCTGACCTCATTTTCAGATGAAGACACAGGTAGTGGGGACATGGAACCCAAATCTTTAAGGCTTTGAAATTCTGGGTGATTGCCACAAAGATTATGAGGCCTGACAACCAGTCAGAATGAAATAAGCCTGGGTTGGTTTTTTTTTTTTTTTTTTTCCATCAGCTTTTAGGTTCAGGGGTACATGTGCAGGATGTGCAGGTTTGCTACAAAGGTAAATGCGTGCCATGGTGGTTTACTGCACAGGTCATCCCACCACCTAGGTATTAAGCCCAGCATCCATTAGCTATTCTTCCTGATGCTCTCCCTCCCCCTCCCCCACAGGCCCCAGGGTGTGTTATTTCCCTCCATGTGCTCATGTGTTCTCTTCATTCAGCTCCTGCTTATAAGAGAAAAGATGCAGTGTTTGGTTTTCTGTTCCTATGTTAGTTTGCTGAGGATAATGGCTTCCAATTCCATTCATGTCCCTGCAAAAGATATGATCTCATTCTTTTTTTTGGCTGCATAGTATACCATGGTGTATATGTACTACATTTTCTTCATCCAATCTATCATTGATGGGCATTTGGGTTGATTCTATGTCTTTGCTATTGTGAATAGTGCAGCATTGAACATGTGTGTGCATGTATCTTTATAATAGAATGATTTATATTCCTTTGGGTATATTAAACCTGATTATTAAAGGCTTTGAGGATTTTCTAGCCTCTTTGTGTTCACTGGAAGTTTAATTTTTATAAATTTCCCCCTTCGTTTTCTTTTGTCATCATGACAGGGAGTTGAGTAGACATTGTATGTTTTTCTTCATTGTTTCAGATTTTGAGATACAGAGTGAAAATGGGGAGAACTGTAATCAAGACATGTTTGAGAATGAATCACGTAAGATATTCTCGGAAATGCCTGAAGGTGAAAGTGCTCAGCACTCCGATGGGGAAAGTGACTTTGAGAGAGATGCTGGCATCCAGAGGCTCCAGGGACACAGCCCAGGTGAGGACCACGGGGAGGTGGTTTCTCAGGACAGGGAAGTTGGCCAGCTCATAGGCCTGCAGGGCACCTACCTAGGGGAGAAGCCCTACGAATGTCCCCAGTGTGGGAAGACCTTCAGCCGGAAATCCCACCTCATCACACACGAGAGGACCCACACAGGAGAGAAATACTACAAATGTGATGAATGTGGAAAAAGCTTTAGTGATGGTTCAAATTTTAGTAGACACCAAACCACTCACACCGGGGAGAAGCCCTACAAATGCAGAGACTGTGGGAAGAGCTTTAGCCGGAGTGCCAACCTCATAACCCACCAGAGGATCCACACGGGGGAAAAGCCCTTCCAGTGTGCCGAGTGTGGCAAGAGCTTCAGCAGGAGTCCCAACCTCATTGCACATCAGCGCACCCACACAGGAGAGAAACCCTACTCGTGCCCCGAGTGTGGAAAGAGCTTTGGCAACCGATCCAGCCTTAACACGCATCAGGGGATCCACACTGGAGAAAAGCCCTACGAATGTAAAGAATGCGGCGAAAGCTTTAGTTACAACTCCAATCTAATCAGACACCAGAGAATCCACACAGGAGAGAAACCCTACAAATGTACCGACTGTGGGCAGAGGTTCAGCCAGAGTTCAGCCCTCATCACCCACCGGAGAACCCACACAGGAGAGAAACCCTACCAGTGCAGCGAGTGTGGGAAAAGCTTCAGCCGCAGCTCTAACCTGGCCACACACCGGAGAACCCACATGGTGGAGAAGCCCTATAAGTGTGGGGTGTGTGGGAAGAGCTTCAGCCAGAGCTCCAGTCTGATTGCACACCAGGGCATGCACACAGGGGAGAAACCCTACGAGTGCCTGACATGTGGGGAGAGCTTCAGCTGGAGCTCCAACCTCCTCAAGCACCAGAGGATCCACACGGGAGAGAAACCCTACAAATGCAGCGAGTGTGGGAAATGCTTCAGCCAGCGCTCCCAGCTCGTAGTGCACCAGCGGACCCACACGGGCGAGAAGCCCTACAAATGCCTCATGTGCGGCAAGAGCTTCAGCCGGGGCTCCATTCTGGTCATGCACCAGAGAGCCCATTTGGGAGACAAGCCCTACAGGTGCCCTGAGTGTGGGAAAGGCTTTAGCTGGAACTCAGTCCTCATTATACATCAGCGAATCCACACTGGGGAGAAGCCCTACAAATGCCCCGAGTGTGGCAAAGGCTTCAGCAACAGCTCTAACTTTATCACACATCAGAGAACTCACATGAAAGAGAAACTTTATTGAAGTGGCAAAGAGTGAAAGTGAGGGACTGGCCTGGAGTGGGAGTTGCCACACTGCCCCAACAGTGATTCCCTTTCAAAGAGCTGTGCTTCCTAAACATTCTGGGGGGTTTTGCCAGAGTCTTCCCCTTGCTCATCCTCATTTCCAGGACACTGTCATTTTAGTGGTCTGAGTCAAGTCCCGTATACATTCAAGAACAGGGCATAGGCGTGGAAGGTCTGGAAAGTTGGGTCTTTTTCCCTTACATTGGGTGACTTGATTGGCCCCCTCTCATGATTCCTCTGTGCCTCAGTTTCCTCTTTGGTAAAATGGGGGGAAATGTTTCTCCATGTGGAATGGAAGACAGCATGGCCCACAACGTGGGCCGAGTCCTCAGAGAAATACTGGAAATCATTGGTGTGGTTCTGGTTGTTTTGTTGTTTTGCTGCCACGTTGTTGGGCTAAGGTGCCTTCACCCCAAGCTGTTAGTGTTCCAGGGCACCCCAAGCTGTCAGTTAGAATCTGCTCTTCTGGCTTTGGTGTCTTGGGCTTTGATTTCAGGTCAAGATGGAGGGGCTTCTCCAGTTCTGAGTCACCCACGTGAAGGTAAAGACCCTTTCTATTTCCAGAAAGTGTCAGGAGCACAGAAACTTGAGGAAGTACAGCCTGGAGCCAGTGTCCCAGTGTCCTTTCCATTGGTAAGAGTTGGACAGGGCCTTCAGGAAAGGGGTAAACCGAGGACATTTCAGTGCTTGCTTTTGTCTCTGCCTACTGTCCTGTGGTAGATCAGCTACCAGGGGAACACATTTGTTCTCGTGGGGTTTTGTCCTGGAGAGTGTAGTGAAGTCCGAGAGCCCTAGCTGCCAACCCATGGTGGATGGTAACTTCTGTCTCATCAAGAGTAAAACAGTCCTGCACACAGCAGGGTGGGTTTGTGCCTTTGGCCCAACAGGTACATAGCCCCATAATTTCTGAATTATTCTATGCACTTGTTTCCCTCTTCTTTTATTTTTTATTTGATATATGCCGAGCTAGAATCCTGTCGGGTAGCTTTTGTATACTAAGAACATTATTATTATT